>NC_000018.10:53333908-53634574 GCF_000001405.40 Homo sapiens
GCCACAGGTTTGACTAATAGGCATCTCACATTGAACATGACCCAAGGAAATCTCACCTGTGTTTCCTCATTTCAGTTCATCAACCAACAGTTACCAAGTCAAAGACCTATGGGTTATGATTAAATCTCCCTTTTCCTG
Organism: Homo sapiens; assembly: GCF_000001405.40. Taxonomy (NCBI): domain Eukaryota; kingdom Metazoa; phylum Chordata; class Mammalia; order Primates; family Hominidae; genus Homo; species Homo sapiens. Next base: position 53,334,047 of record NC_000018.10, read on the forward strand.
CACCACTCACATCTACTCTATAGCTCTGTTAACTACACATTACAAATGTCCTAAATCTATCCACTTTATATCATCTTCACAACAGCCATCTAGACAAGAGCAAAAGCAATTTTATGGTCTCCATGTTTCATTCTATGCTTCCTCTCCAAACTTCTTTTTCACCCAGAAAAATAGAGTGATCTTTCAGTAATATCAATGAGACCACACTTCACACCTCCATTCCTGCCAGTCAAGACCATTTAAGATCTTCTCCTTCTACTTAGAATAAAACCTAACTTCTTACTTATCTTGACTTGCCTTGCCTATAGTAACCTGGTCTGTAAGTGACTCACTCTTTTTTTTCTGTTTTTGTAATTGTTTACAATTATGGAAAAATAGACAAAACCTTAAATTTACCATCCTAACAATCTTTAAGTATACAGTTCAGTGGCATTAAGCACATTCATGTTGTCATGCAGCCATCACCACCACCCATCTCCAGAACTCTTTTCATCTTGCAAAAGTGAAGTGCTGTACCCATTAAATAATAACTGCCAACCTCCCCAACCCCCAGCCTCTGGCAACCACCATTCTCTTTTCTGTCTCCATGAATTTAACTTCCCTGGGTACCTCATAAAAGGAGATTTACACAGTTTTTGTCATTTTGTGATTGGCCTATTTCATTTACCATATCATTGCCAAGGCTCCTGCATCTTGTAGCGTGTCTCAAAAATTCAATTGTTTCCTTTTTAGAGGCCAAATACTATTCCATTATGTGTATATACCACATTTTAAAAATGCATTTATACATTGGTGGAAACTTTGATTTCTTCCACCTTTTGGCTATTGTAAATGATGCTGCTATCAACATGGATGTACAAATATTTGTTTGAGTCCCTGCTTTCAATTCTTTTTGCATTTATACTTAGATGAGGAATTGCAGGATCATATGTTAATTCTATTTTAAATTTCTTGAGGGACCCTTATATGGTTTCTTTATAGCAGGTATACTATTGTACATTCCTACTGGCTGACTCTCTTTTTATCTTTTTCATTCTCTCTCTTACCCTTGATGTTCCAGATGTGATGATCCTCTTTGGTTTCTCTGAATACCAAACTCATCCCTGCAGTACAGCATTTGCAGTAGTTGTTTCCTCTCCCTACAGAGCTCACCACTCTGATGTTTGCTTGACTGGCCCTTTCAGGTCATCCACCTTAGACTCAAATGGGGAGAATTTCCTGGATGGGTCAGTTATTGTCCCATCAGCATAGCACTTATCAAGATCTCACGATTGTCTTATTTGTTTATTAGGACTTATGTTTTGTCTTTCCTCTCCCACCACTATATTTTTAGTACCTAGAACTACAACTAGTATATAGGAGATGCATAGTAGTTGTTGAAATGTCACAGGGATTAATATAATACATGACCGAGTATGCTGCATGTGAACATTACACATTAGTGGAAACCTGTGTAACATGTCTGCATTCATGTTACAGAGAATAACACGTCTACATATATTACATATGTTACAAAGAATAACATGCCTACATACATGTTACAGAAAATAACATGTTCTTTAGAACCAAACTATACCAAGAGAGAATCCATAATTCAATAATATAATCAAGAGTGGCAATTGACCTAGTTATTTGATCATTCAGACTCTAGTAAAAATTTGGGGCCTTGTATTAGTCTGTTTTCATGCTGCTGATAAAGACATACCCGAGACAGGGCAATTTACAGAAGCAAGAGGTTTAATGGACTCACAGCTCCACATAGCTGGGGAGGTCTCACAATCACGGCAGAAGGTGAAAGGCACATCTCACATGGCGGCAGACAAGAGAAGAGAACTTGTGCAGGGAAAGTCCCCTTTATAAAACCATCAGATCTCAAGAGACTTACTCATTATCACGATAATAGCACAGGAAAGACCGCCCCTGTGAGTTAATTACCTCCCAACGGGTACCTCCCACAACACGTAGGAATTGTGACACCTACAATTCAAGATGAGATTTGGGTGGGAACACAACCAAACCATATCAGGCTTCATTAATTTAAATATTTCAGGCAAAATGTGCTCTTTGGTTTCAAATTAACTCAATAACTACTCTACTATTCCTCTGTGCTTCATATGTGCAAGCAGCATCTTAGAGATACTTGTAAAATGTTTCATGTACTTCTGAGCAGCAAATTTCAGTTGCAGACTCCAAGCAAGTAATAGTCATATTATATATCTTCCACAGCAAATTTTCTAAATTGATGTTTTATAGTTCATTCCAGTAGTAACCACTTTCCTAATCCATAAGGTCATCTATGTTAGAGAAAAATCACTCAGGTAGCATAAAAGGAAAATTGTTATTTCTGCCTTTGTATTAAGAAGTGAGTGGGCATAAATTGGCTATCATGGATTATGAACAATCTCCTGGCGTAGTTATCATGATGATGAGGCCATATATTATGAATGGCTTAGGTCTAATACTACCTTGAAGGAACTGTCCTTTTGGTCCTGTGAGCTTAATTTGGTGATAAAGGGTCATTAAGGCTGGGCATGTAGACTCACATCGATAATTCCAACACTTTAGGAGGCCAAGGCAGGTGGACTGCTTGAGTCCAGGAGTTCAAGACCAGCCTGAACAACATAGCAAAACTCTGTCTCTACAAAAACATAAAAATAAAATAAGTAGATAGATAAATACATTAGCTGGGCGTGGTGGCACATGCCTGTAGTCCCAGCTACTAGGGAGGTTGAGGTGGGAGGTTGGCTTGAGTCAGAGGGTTAGAGGCTGCAATGAGCTTTGATCTCACCACTGCAATCCAGCCTGGGAGATAGAACAAGATCTTGTCTCTCTCTCTCAAACACACAAAACTAATTAGGATTTAGATGAAGAGGCAACATATCTTCTTACGTACTAACATTTTTTTTCTAATGTTAAAAATTATTTTGAGGCTTGCCTCTAGGATTGAAACATTTTCATGCAGTGAAGGATAAAGTGGAGTCTTACGTTCTTCAAGAGCCAGTTGGTGTACACATTACAATGATATGTTTAAAGCTCCGATGAATAAAATTGTGTAGTTACTAACTTAACCAATTTGCAAGAGAACTATTCTATGGTTTGCAGAAATATTAAGAAATAGTTACTGTTCTGAAAACATTTTTAACAGTTGAACAGTTTTTCCTTTTATTCTAAAAGATGTTAAATATTGTCATTAAAATCATTATGATTTCATATTGCTTTTAAAAAGTCATAAATGCAGAAGATCTAGTTTATTTTCTTAGTGTACGATTAGGCAGATTATCTTGTTGTTTTAATAGTTAGTGCAAACACTTCAAATATGCTAAACAGAACTGACTGAGAGTCCATTACATTTCAAGGGCACTGGTGAGACTGTGGCAGTAGGGTTGAAAACTATTAATCCATCCTTTTCATCTCTTTTATTACTTTTACTTAGAGTTTATATTAGGAAATATTTCACAAACATTGTGTTTCTGCTGTTAAGGCTTATATCCACGTTTTGAGACATAATTTTTTTATGATGTCTTTGCATATTATATCATAGGCTTTTTTAGGGCAGACTAATAATAGCTTTCCCTTTTTGCCCACAAAGGGCCATCTTTGGGGGAAAAAAAAGCATCTTTAGAAAATTCTGTCGATGTGGCAACTTTAGAATCTTTTGAAAAGCTTTAGAATCTTTTGAAAATGTTACCTATTTTGAAAACTTTAATAAGAACATGCTTCTATCTATCACTTAAGCTAGAAGTGGGAATGCTGCATATGGATAAAAGTGGAGGGGGCTGTGCCAGTTTTTGGTACTACATTAAGGAGAAAAATGTAATATTACCTCTAGTCATCAGATTTCCTTGCATAATTTGGCATATGTTACCTTCAGAGATTTTCTAAATCACTGGACACAGACATTTCTGGAACATAAATAATGAACAGAATCACTTTAATAAAATTCAAATCACTGATATTTTTGAGTACTTATTAATTGCCAAGAACTGTGTTAAGCACTTATTGAAGTTTGGATGGGCACATTCTTTCTTACATATCTTTGCATAATACTTCCCTGATTTTCAAAGAATAGGTTACATGTGCTTGTATTTAGCCAATCAAAATATTTACCATAATCTATCGTAGCTGCCTTTTTACTTGCCTGTTTCTCATTAGACTATAAACTCCAATAGTGCAGGTTTAATGTCTGCCATATTTGTTCTTCCTGTATCCTGAACATTACAGGCACCTAGGCTCACACCTCAAACATAATAGTTGTTGTATAAATATTTATTAATTGGCTGGGCACGATGGCTCAAGCCTGTAATCCCAGAACTTTGGGAGGCCAAGGCAGGTGGATCACGAGGTCAGAAGTTCAAGATAATCCTGGCCAAGATGGTGAAACCCCGTCTCTACTAAAAATACAAAAATTAGCCAAATGTGGTGGCAGGCACCTGTAATCTCAGCCACTTGGGAGGCTGAGGCAGAGAATTGCTTGAACCCAGGAGGCGGAGGTTGCAGTGAGCCGAGATCGTGCCACTGCACTCTAGCCTGGGCGACAGAGTGAGACTCCGTCTCAACAAATAAATAAATATTAATTGAATAATGATCAGTGTCCAGAAAAAAATATTTTTTTAAGACTAGGAAACAGCGAAGAATGACAACATAAAAATCAGAACAATTTATTATTAAAACATATTAATTTTCAACACACAATCCCTTTAAAAGAAAATATATGTCAGGGTGGCATGCACATTCTCTTTTTAATATCTAGCAATATTTGAGAATTTATTTGCTACTCATAATGGGTAAGTTTGCATGAATTATCTCATTAAATCTTTTCAACACCATACCTTCATTCTACAGGTAGGGAACTGAGGCTTAGAGAGGATAAATGATATCTCAAAATCTCACAGACAGTGAGTATACAATACAAGTTTGAACTCTGCTCTTTCTTACTTCCCGAGCTCAAGCTTTGAGTCAATCAATATTTGGAATGCCAACTTAATCAGAAGGGAAACTCAGAGAAGTGAAATAATTTCATGAGGACACAGAGCTGGTAAATGACAGAACGTGGCATTAAACCAAATTTGCACAGGTCCAAAGGTTGTGAGGCTTTAATCCAGGCCACTGTCTTCTTTCTTTTAATAATAAATGCATTTTTCACTGATTTAATAAACCATGAATCAAGTACCATCCTAATCATGCTGGACAGATCATGGCCCTTAACTGTTTCTCCTGACAATTACATAAGAAAGGACTGGTTAGTTTGTTATTGTTTTTAGCTAAATCAGAGTAAATAATTATTGGATAAGACAACATTGACATTTTATTTTCCAGTCTATTATTCTTACATCTGCCTTGGTTTTCACCCTTCATTAATGATACCTAAGAAGAGATATGTAAAAAGAAAAAAAGCCCAAGTAAGACGCTATTGGAATAAAGATGCATTGATGCTACCTACCATGCCCATGGAAAGAACTCGGTATTCTTGTATGCTTAAGAAATTTTGTGAAAGTCAAATCAAACATAGAAAATATATCATATGCTAAAATAAAGAGTGACTTGGGCAATAGGTGATGCATTATTTATGCATCTATGAAATATGATTTCTCTTGCTTAAATGGTGTTCTGCCGTGCTACATTTTCTGTTATGAGACATGCTGATGATGCCTCTTTTTGAATGCTAGAATCTCAAGTTCCTGATCAACCAAGCTCTCTTCATGTGAGGCCCCAGACTAACTGCATCATCATGAGTTGGACTCCTCCCTTGAACCCAAACATCGTGGTGCGAGGTTATATTATCGGTTATGGCGTTGGGAGCCCTTACGCTGAGACAGTGCGTGTGGACAGCAAGCAGCGATATTATTCCATTGAGAGGTTAGGTGAGTATCTGTGATTTTTTTTATTCTATTAAGGGGAATTAATGATTTATTTTGAATTATTGTATTTCTTGGAAAACTGTTCCCTGGTATGATGGTTTCAACTTACAGCATGTATTAGCTCTGAAAGCAACTGTCTATCTACACACACACACACACACACACACACACATACACACACACACAGGCACACATATACATTTCTTTGAATTTGGGATTTCAGGAATTTGATCTAGAGAGATCTGTAATGGCAGTTGCTCTGGTGTGTGCCCTTGCTTATGGGTTATAGGATACAAAAAGTGCGTTGGGCCATTTTTCTTTTTCCAGTGGTCAATGGAAACTTCTGATCCTAATAATTTCTATAAAAAGAAAGTCAACACATTTTTCATCTTTGTTGTTGTCACTGGGAAAATGTTCTGTTAATTTTTCTTTAACCTTGAAATATCTAGTCATAGTGCCTTCTTTACCGTTAACATTCCAAATATGAATGTTAAAGGCTGTGTCATTATGACTGCAAAAGAAGATGAAAGAAGGAATTTTCAGTCAAGACAATACATTAGAATGATAAAACTCCATCCTGCATGTTTCCCTGCCCCTACCAATCTAGGTTCTCTTATTGTACTCAACTCAACCTCATTTTTTACTGAATACAATACTTCAGTTGTGATATTCTGAATTCATTGAAAACGTGTTCATTCAGAGAGGTCTAATGTGTGTAAAAGTGTTCATATTCATTTTAGATCTGATTTCCCATAGTGCTGTAGGAGTTTGTATTATTAACACAGAGAAATAAAGTAAATATAATATATCAGGATGCCAGTAAGTTAAACAATTTTCATAAAGCAAAATGTAAGTTGATTCTACCTGTTGATTTAATACCGTATTACATGACCCCACTGGAAATGCAGCTTGATTGGGCAGGCAGGGTGTAGGGGGTGGGGGGATCTGCTACTTATTTGCAGTGTCTCTCACAAACAGAACATTTGTGATGAGAAGCCTGATTTGAATTTGAATAGCTAAAATGCAGTAGCAAGAAAAGATTTTCTCAGTAAAGGAAGAAAATTGCACTGACCCATTCTCTCTATAATTGCTTCAAACACTAATAAGAGAAACACCTACTGGAAATCTCCACAATTTATTTAGCTTGGCGTTTAGAAATAATATTCTTTCCATCAGTTCCTGAGTTTGAATGTAAAGGCAATCACAAAACTCATATTTTATGGCTATCAAGCCTATGTCAAGGGACTCTCACTTATCCATTATTCAGCATCCACCATCTTTGACAGTTCATCTTGATGCCACTCAACAGACAGAGGGAGGGAGGTGCCCATGGCAGTAAATGGCTCCCAGGCAATGAGAATGTGCTGCAAACTCAGAAGGAAGTCAGGAGGGAAACTGCATTGTTGACCCTATCCTTTTTCTAATGATTCTCTTCGTTACCAAAAAAAACTTGCCAGAGGTCTCCAAATTTAGTCAAGTTGACGCATTTGGGAGATTAACGTTGGCAAATCTCCCCAAATGCTTAACAAGAAAAACAGAAAACTCTGGAAAATATATTCTAAAGAGCTAGGAATATTTTTAAAGGTAAATTGGGATATGAACCTGTCTCAGTAATAATTATGAGTTTGCACTCTACAACTTACCTGGAAAGAGTAATTACATACACACATAGATAGGTATGTAAGTTCTACTAGTTGATACTCTTTTAACATAGTCTCATGTGTTAATATGAAATACAGTAATTAGCATGTTGTTGTTCATTAAATATCCTCATGGTTATGCAAATGAACTGCTATTTTTCCAATATGTGTTTTCACTATTTAGCCAAAGTGTGTGTGAGAGACATACCCTAAGCTCTAATCTTTATAAAGATAAGGATTTATTCAAGTCCACGTTCATGCTGCAAATAAATCACCAATTGTTTTATTTATTCTATTGAGCATTAAAATCAACACATCAGTTTCCATAGTAACTTTTTGAGAAGGTATTTATAACTTTTTTTAATTTTTAAAGTTTTTGGAAGGCAAAGCTCTCTAGTCATTACATATACATAATAAAGAAAATGAAATTTTATGTTTTAAGGACTGTATGACAGTTATACAACTAAAAGTGAATTAAAGTAAGTTTAATTCATTTAAGCATAGGGTCAGCCATAACTTCAAGTATCATGGTTGTATATTAAACTATAAAAAAGCTATTTGTTTTATAATTGACTAATAAACCCCTTCATCTATTTCATGAGAGAGCAAGACTTCTAAACAGCATTTTATTTGCAGTTTAGACACCAGACACTGTGATCAGCTTCAGGACTGGAAATACAAGAACATTTTGAGTAATATCTAATATTACCTAATTAAAAGCAAACAAACAACTTGCCTGCTATAGGCATAGAGCTTCATTAATCAATGACTATTAAATATTTATAATTAATCTATTGACATTTTACTCCTTTTAGTTCAAGAGCCCTAGTGCCAGACTTGAAGTATGATATAGACCCAAAATTAATTTGAAACCAAACCACTTTTAAAACTCACTATCTACCTACCAATTGATCTATTTATCTATCAATTTATCTATCTTTATATCTTTATTCAGATATTATTTATATACAGTACATTGTGTACATTAAAAGTGTACTTTTTGGCATTTTTAAAAGAGCATTATTGAGGTATAATATTTGTTTAATAAAGTATATCTTTATAATTTCTCTAATTTATCTCAGTAATATTTTATAGTTTCAAATGTAAAGGTCTTCAATGTTTATGTTAAACTTATTCCTAAATACATATGTATATGTAGGAATATACATATATTAGAAATACCCAAATATATATATATATATATGGATATAAATACATATATATTTGGATATATATATTTGAATATATGAACATATATTTAGGACTGTTTAAATTATGCATATATATTTGAATATTCCTAAATATATATACATATGTATATTATATATATTTGAATTATTTTAAATAGAACTGTTTTTAAAATTTATTTTAAATAAATTTTTACTATAGTGGATTTATAGATGTATTATATAATGTATATATAGATGTATTGTGGTATTTATAAATGTGTAGAATACAAGAGATTTTTTAATGCTAACCTTGTATCCTAATATCTGCTAAATTTACCTATATATTCCATTAGTTTTTTAGATTATCTAAAATTTTCTGTTTAATCAAACATATCTATGTGAACAGAAAGTTTTATATTTAGTTTCTGATCTCTGTCCCTTTTATTTCTTTCTGTTGCCTTATTTCAGTGATTAGGATCTGTAGTAAAATACTGGATAAAAGTGCTGAAAGCAGGTATCTTTCCTTTGTGTCTGATCTTAGGAGAAAAAAATTTAGTCTTTACCATGAAATAGGTTATTACCTCTGGTCTCTTTAAGCCTTTTGTGAGATTAAAGAAATGCTATACTCTTTCTAGTTTTCTAGAAATTCTGGTCATGAATATTTGTTGAATTTTATTAGATAACTTTCTATCTTTTGAAATGAACTTTTTTTTTCTTTTTTTAAAATACGGTGAATTACATTGATTGATTTTTGAAGGGTAACCAACCTTGAATTTCCTATATAAATCCTGTGTGGCCATCATGTATTATCCTTTTCTTATGTTGTTTAATTTGATTTGTTAATGCTTATTAAGGATTTTTTGTGCCTATATTCAGTAGGTTATATATTTGTCTACAATTTTCTTTTCCTATAGTGTCTATATACTGTTTCTCTTTTACTCCAGTTAGATTGGCTCATAAAATGAGCTGGATAGTATTTACTCCCCTTCTGTTACAGAAAATTTGTGTAAAATGGATTTTATTTATTTCTTAAGTATTTTATAGATTTCACTAATGAAATCATCTGGACCTGAGATTTTTTTTATAGGAAGGCTTTGATAATAGATTTAATTTTTTATACAGATATAGGTCTGATTTGCAAACTTTCTTGTATTGATTTTGCTAAGTTAAATTTTTAATAAAATCCATCCATTTCATTTTGTCTCTTGTTGGCACAGTTATTCATAATGTTTTCTTTATCTGTTATCTATGGTTATTAACTGATTTTTCATTTCTCATATTGGTCTTTTCTTGTTCCTGTCTTTTTTTTGTGATATCTAGACAGAGATTTACTAATTTTGTTGATCTTGTCAAAGAAAGAGCCTTTGACATTACTAACTTTTCTATTATCTATCTATTTTATTTCTTTCATTTCTACTGTTATCTTGACTACTTCCCTCCTGATACTTATTTTAGTTCTGGTCTTCTCTTCTATTTCTAATTTATTGACATATGAACTTTATAATGTATACATCCATTGTTGTTCCTCTAGGTATCATTTTACTTGCATTCCACAAATTTTGATATGTTGTATTTTTATTACCATTTAGTTCAAAGCATTTCCTAATTTTCCTGTGATGTGTTATTCTCCCTAAGTTATTTAGCAAGGTGTTACTTAATTTTCAAATTTTGGGATTTTCCTAGTTATCTTGTTATTATTGGTTTTCTTTTCTTTCTTTTCGTTTTTCTTTTTTTTTTTTTTTTTTTTGAGCCACAGTCTCACTTTGTTGCCCAGGCTGGAGTGCAGTGGTGTGATCTTGGCTCACTTCTACCTCTGCCTCCCAGGTTCAAGCAATCTCCTGCCTCAGCTTCCCAAGTAGCTGGGATTACAAGCGTGCGCCATCGTGCCTGGCTAATTTTTGTATTTTTAGTGGAGACGGGGTTGCACAATCTTGTCCATGCTGGTCTTGAACTCCTGATGTCATGATCCATCCACCTCAGCCTCTCAAGTGCTGGGACTGCAGGTATGAACCACCACACCCAGCCTAAATTTGAGTTATTAATAGCACTTTAGCAATATGTCTGATATTGCATATTGCAGTAAGATTATATTGCATATTGCAGTGAGGTTGCAGTGAGCCAAGATCTTGCCTTTGCACTCCAGCCTGGGTGACAGAGCAAGACTCTGTCTTGGAAAAAAAAAAAAAAGGAAAGAAAAGAAAAGAAATATGTCTTATAAGAGATCAGCTGACTTTTTCTATAATGGACCAGAGACTAAATACTTTAGGCTTCACAGACCATATAATAGTCTCTGTCACCACTCCTCAACTCTGCTATTAGAGCATGAAAGCAGCCAAAGACAATACATACACAAATAAACATAGCTGTGTCCTAATAAAACTTTATTTGTGGACCCAAGAATCCATAATTTAATATAATTTTTATATATTATAAACTTTTATATGTTATAAAATTCTGTCTTTTTTAATTTTAGCAACTATTTAAATATATAAAAACCATTATTAACTCATGGTCTATACAAAAACAGTGGCCCCTCAACTATAATTTACTGATTCCTGCTCTTAGTGATTGCTCTAGGAGATACCATATATGTATTTAATCTTTCCCACTTTATTTAGGCTAACATTGTAGCACATCATATAAAACATAGAAACCTGCAACTGCACAGGTCTCTTTATCATATGGACTATTCCTTTTGTTGTAATTGTCATATGTATTACATGTACATGCATTGAAAATCCCATTAGACAGTCTTATATATTTATTGTATTATGCAGTCATGATTTTTTTTAAGACATAAGGGGAAACTATGATGTTTTCTATTTACCCAGATATATGACATTTCTTATGCTTTTCATTTGTACCTGAAGATGAAGTTCTTATCCAATGTTATTTCCCTTTAGATTGAAAATCTTCCTTTACCATTTCTTTGTAGTTCAGTCAGGTGGCAACAACTTTTCTTCGTTTTGCTTTATCTGAAAATATCTTAATTCTACTTTTTTTTTCTGAAGGATATTTTCACTGGATATAGAATTCCGCATTGACAGATTTTTTTTTTCTTTCCTCCAGTTCTTTCAAGTTGTTGTCTCTCTGTATTCTTGACTCTATGGTTTTTGATGAAAAACCATTAGAGTTTTAGACCATTGCAATTTAATGTAATTATACATATGGTTGAATTTTATTTTTGTTTACTGTTTGTCAGATTGCTTTTTTGTGTCCCTGTTTTCCCTTTCCTGACTTCTTTTGGATTATTTGAATTTTTTTGTTTTAAGTTTTATTATTATTATTATTTTTTCCTGAGATGACATGTGGTTCTGTTGGCCAGGTTGGAGTACAGTGGAGCTCTCATGGCTCACTGCAGCCTTGACCTCCCAGGCTCAAGTAATCCTGCTGCCTCAGCCTCCTAAGTAGCTAGGAAAACAGGCATGTGTCAACATGACATTCAAAATGTTGTTAACCTGTAGTAATATATACTTTTTTATTTTTTTGCTGGGTGCTTTTAAGACTTCTTTAAAATATTTGATTTCCAGCAGCTAGATTATATTATATAGAGGCATAGTCATTTTTTACTATATCTTGCCTGTGTGTTTTATGCTTATTAAATCTGTAAATTTATGATTTCACCAATTTTGGTCATTTTGTCTTCAAATATTTTTCCCCACTATTCACCACATTCCCTCTGAGACTATAATTATATGTATTTTAGACATTTGAATTTTATCTTATACATTCTCACAACTGTGATGTTTTCTTTCGTTTTTTAACCTTTTTACTCTTTTCTTGATATTGAGTGATTTATCCTGTTCTATTATCATGCTTACTGATAAATTCCTTCATTACCTCTATCTCATTGTTAGGCTCATATGGTAAAGGTCATTATATTTTAAAACATTGTCCTCTTTTTAATATTACAATCTCCATTTTTTTCTACATTTTCTACTACTCTGTTGAGATTTTCTATACTCCTTGCAAGTATACTTTACCTCTGAGAGCATAGTTATAAAAGTTACTTTAGCATGTTTCTCTGATAATTTCAACATCTGCACCATTTGGGTTGGGCATCTATTTGCTTTTTCACTTGAGAATGGACTATATTTACCATTTTTTTGGTATGTTGTATAATTTTAGACTATATGTTAGGCATTGTCAATGTTAAGTTGTAGAATCTGAGTTTTATTACAATCCTTGAAAATTTTTTGATATATTGGTTTTAGAAGGCAATCAACAGTTAGATTCAGATTGTGAGATCTATCTTGCTTTCTCTTCACAGCAATTAAAATCTTGGTTAAGTTTCCCAAGGCTTTGCTCTGCTGTTAGTGTTTAGGCTGAGACTTAGGCAAGTTTTAACTCAGAATCAGAACATCTCTATCTCCAGAACTCCTTTTTGTATACTTTTTGTAAACTGTTTCCCTCATCCCCTGAAACTACTTTCAGTGATTCTTCTGGCACAAAGTGGTGAGGGTTTCTACTGGAGTGACAGCTGACAGTACTGGGGTGCTTTCCATACTGCAAAATTTTCTTGGAGCAAAACAGAAAACTAATTCCAACGCTGGTCGCTTCATCAAGATCTTACTTAATTCCAAAATCCGCCTAGTTTTGTAAAATACTCAGACCTCATATAGTTGGGATTTTGGTTTTTGGGGGGATTGTTTTGTATCTTGTTTAGAGCCAGTGGCTGTTATCAGTGAGATGGATGAGCCAAAAAGAGCTTACACCATCAGAGAATAATTGGAAACTCACAGTCCCATTTTAAATATTTTTGGGCAGCTGTTATTGTGAACATTCTTGATAAAAATAAGATGACTTCCTGGGCAGTGTATTTAACATCTGAATTACATTTGGCACTATCGCACTTATTTACTAACAACATGTGTTAGAGGAACTAAAAATGACTCTGAAATATATAACTTAGTTGCTATATTAGTCTGTTTTCATGCTGCTAATAAAGACATACTTGAGACTGTGCAATTTACAAAAGAAAGAGGTTTAATTGGACTTACAGTTCCATGTGGCTGGGGAAGCATCACAATTATGGCAGAAGGCAAGGAGAAGCAAGTCACATCTTACATAGAGGGCAACAGGCAAAAAGAGAGCTTGTGCAGAGAAACGCCCCTTTAAAAAACCATGAGATCTCATGAGGCTCATTCACTATCATAAGAACAGTGCAGGAAAGACCTGTTCCTATAATTCAGCCACCTCCCACTAGATTCCTCCTACAACATGTGAGAATTGTTGGAGTTACAATTCAAGATGAGATTTGGGTGGGGACACAGCGAAACCATATCATTCTGCCCCTGGCCCCTCCCAAATCATATGTCCTCACATTTCAAAACCAAACATGCCTTCCCAGCAGTCCCCCAAAGTCTTATTTCAGCATTAACTCAAAAGTCCACAGTCCAATGTCTCATCTGACACGAAGGAAGTCCCTTTCGCCTATGATCCTGTAAAATCAAAACCAAGTTAATTATTTCCTAGATACAATGCAGGGACAGACATCGGGTAAATACAGCCATTCCAAATGGGAGAAATTGGCCAAAACAAAGGGCTATAGGCCCCATGAAAGTCCAAAGTCCAGAGGGACAGTCAAATCTTAAAGCTCCAAAATGATCTCCTTTGACTCCATGTCTCATATCCAGGTCACACTGATGCAAGACGTGGGTTCCCATCTTCTTGGGAAGCTCCACTCCTGTGGTTTTGCAGGGCACAGCCTCCCTCCTGGCTGCTTTTATAGGCTGGCATTGAGTGTCTGTGGCTTTTCCAAATGCACACTACAAGCTGTCAGTGGATCTAGCATTCTGGGGTCTGGAGGACAGTGGCCCTCTTCTGATAGCTCCACTAGGCAGTGCCCCAGTAGGGACTCTGTATGGGGGCTCTGATCCCACATTTTCCTTCTGCACTGCCCTAGCAGAGGTTCTCCACTGCCAGAAACTTCTGCCTGGACATCCAGGTTCCCAAACCCCAATTCTTGACTTCTGTGCACTGGCAGGCTCAACACTACATGGAAGCTGCCAAGACTTGAGGCTTACACCCACTGAAACCATGGCCCTATCTCTACATTGGCACCTTTCAGTCATGGCAGGAGTGGCTGGAACACAAGGCACCAAGTCCCTAGGCTGTACACAGCACAGGGACCCTGGGCCCAGCCCACAGAACCACTTTTTCCTCTGAGGCATCCAGGCCTGTCATGGGAGGGGCTGCACTGAAGACCTCTGACCAGCCCTGGAGACATTTTCTCCATTGTGTTGGTGATTAATATTTGGCTCCTTGTTACTTATGCAACTTTCTGCAGCTGGTTTGAATTTCTCCTCAGAAAAATCGGATTTTCTTTGCTATCACATTGTCTGGCTGCAAATTTTGCAAACTTTTATGCTTTGGTTCCCTTATAAAACTGGATGCCTTTAATGGCACCAAAGTCACCTCTTGAATGCTTTGCTGCTGAGAAATTTATTCCGCTAGATACCCCAAATCATCTCCCTCAAGTTGAAAGTTCCACAGATCTCTAGGGCAGGGGCAGATGCCACCAGTCTCTTTGCCAAAATATAACAAGAGTCACCTTTGCTCCAGTTCCCAACAAGTTCCTCATTTCCATCTGAGACCACCTCAGCCTGGACTTTATTGTTCATATCGCTATCAGCCTTTTGGGCAAAGCCATTCAACAAGTCTCTAGGAAGTTCCAAACGTTTCCACATTGTCCTATCTTCTTCTGAGCCCTCCACACTGTTTCAACCTCTGCCTGTTACCCAGTTCCGAAGTCACTTCCCACATTTTCAGGTATCTTTTCAGCAACCTCCAACTCCTGGTACCAATTTACTATGTTAGTCTATTTTCACACTGCTTGTAAGACATACCCAAGACTGGGCAATTTACAAAAGAAAGGGGTTTAATTGGACTTACAGTTCCATGTGGCTGGGGAAACCTCACAATCATAGCTGAAGGCAAGGAAGAGCAAATCACAACCTACATGACTGGCAGCAGGCCAAAAGAGAGCTTGTGCATAGAAACTCCCTTTTTTAAAACCATCAAATCTCATGAGACTCATTCACTATCACGAGAGCAATGCAGGAAAGTCCTGCCCCCTTAATTCAATCACCACAAACCAGGTTCCTCCCATGACGTGGGAATTGTGGGAGTTACAAGTCAAGATGAGATTTGGGCGGGGACACAGCCAAACCATGTCAGTTGCAAAAATAGAATTTTAAAGCAATCTTCTCACTAAAGTTGAACTTCTGACTAGTAATTTTAAAAAACTGAATTTGGCTTAGGCAGTTAAATAATCATTTTATAAAGTATAGTGTTCAACTTCTTAAACAATGGAAAAGATAAAAAGTAACATAAAATACATTTACAATTCATGAGAATCAGAAAAAAAACAGATTATATATAAATATACAGACACAGCCATTGTTTTTCCAACTGATATTAAACAAACATGGCAAATATTCCTGTGAGGATTTATGTTCTTCCAATTCTAATTAGTCCATGTAAAACTATCATGTCTTAAGGAAAATGAATCGAACTCGTTCACCGCCATTGATGTGGATTAACAAAGATGTATCGGGAATTAAGTTCTTAGAATTTAGCATTGCCATAGAAAGGAAGACTATACAATTAAAACTTTTAGGGTTTTACATCTGTTACTCCTGAAATATTTTAACCATAGTACATAAATAACATAGGTTATTTCCATGAATACTCAATTGTAATTTCCTTTTATTCTTATCATCCTTTCAGTGATGCTTACTAGAAGACATTGTCTTAGTAGACTAGCAATTTAAAAACATAAGCTAAGCATACAAAAAAGTAAATAAATATGGAATTAAGTGGAACTCTTAATCTGAGTGTAGATCCATATTTTTTGCCTCTCCATAATGTTTAATACTGGAAAAGTTTTTTGAGCTCTGGCTTTGTAATAGCTCAGTAAAAATAGAAAACAAAAGATGCTTTTAGTCCCTGTATCATGGTATCAGAGGGTTAACAGATTTTGAAAAAAGTCACTAGAAGTTGGAAAGTTGGTAATTCAAGAGCTGTAAATGTCAAACTTTATATTGTGGTCATTGCAATAATATGAAAATTTAATTAGTATTAATTTAAAAATCTAAACCACACAGTGATGCTCAGTTTGATGTGAAAGACAAAAACAGAAATTCCTAGTTTTAACTATAATATTCTGATTAGAAAATCTTGACTGACAGAATTACATTCATTCAACATGAGTACTACTTGCTCAGAGAGAAGTGAGCGGGGATAAGAAAAGGTCACTCCATGAGATCATTACTCAGAGTATATCAGGAAGAATGGATTTTCTCTTTTATGATTTTTTTTTGAGATGAGTGTCTTCTAAACCTATAGCTGTTTTCAAGAAGTCTTTAAGGATAGCCACAGGGTGATTCATTAATAATACATACTATTCTATTTGTAACTGTTTTCTTACTTTCTACTCCCTGAGGTCCAAAGCACAGGAATTGTCTTATACCTGGTGAATTTTCTAAAGCTATTTGGAAAAACTCCATTACAAAAGATACTAGTATTGTATATTAGCATTGAACAGGAGAAGAAAAGATCTTCTCATTGAGTACAGTATATATATATATATATATATATACACTGTATATATATATACAGTGTATATATATATACACAGTATATATATATACTGTATATATATATACAGTATATATATATACAGTGTATATATATATATATACACACTGTGTATATATATATACAGTGTATATATATATATACACAGTGTGTATATATATATATATATATATATAGTGTGTATATATATATATATATAATTGGAATATATGTGTCATTGGAAATCTCCAAATAGAGGTGTCTTCATCATTTTCCTTTTGTTAAAATAACACTTTCACATTTTATTTTGTATTTTATAATCTGAGTTGTTATTTGTAAAACAAACCGGTGAAGTATTATGTAGGTCATTCATTCTACCAACATTAAATTCAAGCATTCAAAGAATAAAAATAATTTTCTTCATCATCTCTGTTTTTCAAGAAAATGTTTTATCTGAGTCAGAATAGCTTAGATCTCATTCTTAATTCCTCACGTCAGTGTTTACAGACAGCAACTTGCTGTGTTTCTTCTAAGCACTTCAGAAATAACAAATCTATTTCTTCATCCCCCTCACTATGTCAGGTATTATCCCAATTTTAAAAATTAGGTAAGACAGAGAAATAACTAAGTAAATAGGAAAAGCCCAAGCTATTTTGTTAAATTTTTTCAAAGTTAAATGTTACTTTAACACCATCAGATAAATATTGTAATAAACAGTAAAGACTTGACTCATTAGTATAAAGAAAGGAGCCTGGTATCAAATCAAAATCTGATCAGAACTTGCAGATAGAGCACTCTATTGCAGGAAAATCCCTCTTTCTATAGGGAAAAACAAGGTATTTTAGCAAAATTAAATATCTTCAATTCACCAACAAAATAATATAATCCAGCTACATAGGACACAGCCTAAAGTTTCTGATTAAATACAAGTGATAGATTCAGTACAAGTGCCAGAGTTTAATCATAGAGGTATTTATTATTTGTTCTGTGAGCTGGATTCATAGCCAACTTGGAGGAAAGAGACAGAAAAGCAAATGCTGTATCTGGGCATTTTCCTTTATTAAACAATTGATTTGTGTGTTTTTCCTTTTAATTCTATCAGATGCATAATTATTTAGGATTGTTATGTCTTGTTGATGAATACTTTATCATTTATGAACTATCCCTTTTCACTAGTGATACTATTGTTTACTCTGAAATCTATTTTGATGTTAGTGCATCCACTCCAGACTATACATTTTTGGCTTTTGTTAGCATTATACATATCATGCTATAATGGGTACATATATTCATTATTTTACTTTAAAACTATGTGTGTTTTTATAATTACAGTGGGTTTTTTGTTGGCAGCACACACTTGGAGTTTTCATCATATCCAATCTGTCAATCTCTGACTTTTAATCAAAGTGTTTAGACCATTTACATTTAATGTGAATATAGATCTGGTTTAGTTTATAACTGCTATCCTGCTATTCATGTTTTATGTATTTCATCTGTTGTCCCACCTTTGTATATGTGTATGTGTGTGTGAATTTTTTTCTAAGTTTCTGCATTTTTATTTAATATTTTTAATCATTCATCTTACACTCTTTCTGGACTCATTAGCTATAACTGTTTTGCTTCTTCAGTGGTTGCTTTAAAATTTATATTATATATCTTGACCTTACCATTATTGACCTTAAGTAAATACTATACCACTTAATAATACATGGTTGTTATTACATTTAAAGTGGGGTGGTTTGAAAGAGTTTTATTAGAGTGGAGAAAATAATATGTGAGTTCGAGACTGGCCTGACCAACATGGAGAAATCTCGTTTCTACTAAAAATACAAAATTAGCCAGATGTGGTGACACATGCCTGTAATCTCAGCTACTCAGGAGGCTGAGGCAGGAATCACTTGAACCCAGAGGCAGAGGTTGCAGTAAGCCGAGATCACGCCATTGCACTCCAGCATGGGCAACAAGAGTGAAACTCCACTTGAGAGGAAAAAAAAAAAAAGGTATTTGATAAAATATAGGAGCCAATTCTATTTTTTTAAAAAAACTATAAAACCCACCAACGTTATATTCAACAAGAAAATGCTAAAGCTATTTCATTAAAACCTGAGCTAAGACAAAAATAGATAAATAAATATCCTTTAAAGGTTAAAAAAATAACGTATTGTCTAACTACACAGTTAGCAATTTTGGTGCTCTTCAGTCCTTCTTGTTATTTTAGATATTTAACTGGTGTCATTTTTTTTTACATCTTGAAGGACTTCTTTAATGTTAAATATTTCTTGTAACATCATTGTGCTGGTGATTAATTTTCCATCTTTGTTATGTGTGAAAAAGTTTTAAGTTTGCTATTAAAACTTATTTTCACTGGTCATAGAATTCTAGGTTGATAAATTATTTTCTTTCTGTATTTTTAAGGATGTTCCACCATTATTTCATATATTACCTTGTTTCCAACAAAACTATTGCACTTGTTCTTTTTTTTTATTTTTATTATACTTTAAGTTCTAGGGTACATGTGCACAACGTGCAGGTTTGTTACATATGTATACATGTGCCATGTTGGTGTGCTGCACCCATTAACTTGTCATTTACATTACGTATCTCTCCTAATGCTATCCCTCCCCCGACCTCACGACAGGCCCCGGTGTGTGATGTTCCCCTTCCTGTGTCCAAGTGTTCTCGTTGTTCAATTCCCACCTATGAGTGAGAACATGCGGTGTTTGGTTTTCTGTCCTTGCGATAGTTTGCTGAGAATGATGGTTTCCAGTTTCATCCATGTCCCTACAAAGGACATGAACTCACCCTTTTTTATGGCTGCATAGTATCCCATGGTGTATATGTGCCACATTTTCTTAATCCATTCTATCATTGATGGACATTTGGGTTGGTTCCAAGTCTTTGCTATTGTGAATAGTGCCATAATAAACATACGTGTGCATGTGTCTTTATAGCAGCATGCTTTATAATCCTTTGGGTATATACCCAGTAATGGGATGGCTGAGTCAAATGGTATTTCTAGTTCTAGATCCCTGAGGAATCGCCACACTGTCTTCCACAATGGTTGAACTCATTTACAGTCCCACCAACAGTGTAAAAGTGTTCCTATTTCTCCACATCCTCTCCAGCATCTGTTGTTTCCTGACTTTTTAATGCTCGCCATTCTAACTGGTGTGAGATGGTATCTCATTGTGGTTTTGATTTGCATTTCTCTGATGGCCAGTGATGATGAGCATTTCTTCATGTGTCTGTTGGCTGCATAAATGTCTTCTTTTGAGAAGTGTCTGTTCATATCCTTCGCCCACTTTTTGATGGGCTTCTTTGTTTTTTTCTTGTAAATTTAAGTTCTTTGTACATTCTGGATATTAGCCCTTTTCAGATGAGTAGATTGCAAAAATTTTCTCCCATTCTGTAGGTTGCCTGTTCACTCTGATGGTAGTTTCTTTTGCTGTGCAGAAGCTCTTTAGTTTAATTAGATTCCATTTGTCAATTTTGGCTTTTGTTGCCAATGGGGTTTTCTAACTAAAACTTTTGGTGTTTTAGACATGAAGTCCTTGCCCATGCCTATGTCCTGAATGGTATTGCCTAGGTTTTCTTCTAGGTTTTTATGGTTTTAGGTCTAATATTTAAGTCTTTAATCCATCTTGAATTAATTTTTGTATAAGGTGTAAGGAAGGGATCCGGTTTCAGCTTTCTACATATGGCTAGCCAGTTTTCCCAGCACCATTTATTAAATAGGGAATCCTTTCCCCATTTCTTGTTTTTGTCAGGTTTGTCTAAGATCAGATGGTTGTAGATGTGTGGTATTATTTCTGAGGGCTCTGTTCTGTTCCATTGATCTATATCTCTGTTTTGGTACCAGTACCAGGCTGTTTTGGTTACTGTAGGCTTGTAGTATAGTTTGAAGTCAGGTAGCATGATGCTTCCAGCTTTGTTCTTTTGGCTTAGGATTGACTTGGCAATGCGGGCTCTTTTTTGGTTCCATATGAACCTTAAAGTAGGTTTTTCCAATTCTTGAAAAAAGTCATTGGTAGCTTGATGGAGATGGCATTGAATCTATAAATTACCTTGGGCAGTATGACCATTTTCAGGATATTGATTCTTCCTATCCATGAGCATGGAACGTTCTTCCATTTGTTTGTGTCCTCTTTTATTTTGCTGAGCAGTGGTTTGTAGTTCTCCTTGAAGAGGTCCTTCACATCCCTTGTAAGTTGTATTCCTAGGTATTTCATTCTCTTTGAAGCAATTGTGAATGGGAGTTCACTCATGATTTGGTTCTCTGTCTGTTATTAGTGTATAAGAATGCTCGCGATTTTTGCACGTTGATTTTGTATCCTGAGACTTTGCTGAAGTTGCTTATCAGCTTAAGGAGATTTGGGGCTGAGACAATGGGGTTTTCTAACTATAAAATCATGTCATCTGTGAACAGGGACAGTTTGACTTCCTCTTTTCCTAATTGAATACCCTTTATTTCTTTCTCCTGCCTGGCACTCGTTCTTATTTTTGTACCACTGCCTCTGCACATAATATGATTTTTATTTCTCACTGCTTTGAAGAATTATGTCCTTGTCATGGATTTTATACAATTTTATTTTTATATACTGGTATAGTTTTCATTATGCTTCTTCTGATTGGGAATTGTTGAGATACTTCATCAAATTTAGGAGTTTTCAGTTATTATTTCTTCACATAGTTTTTCTTTCTCCCAATATCACTGTTCTCAACTCAGAACTGCAATTAAACAGATACCTTATTTTATTTTATTCACTTATTTATTTTTTTGAGACAGGGTCTCACTCTGTCACCCAGGCTGGAGTGCGGTGGTGTGATCATGGCTCACTGCAGCCTCAAATTCCTGGGCTCAAGCAATTCTGCTGCCTTAGCTTCCCAAAGTGCTAGGATTTCCAGTGTGAGCTATGCACATGCTGTACCACTCAGTCTCTCCTCTACCTTCTTGAATATATAGAATACAGTCATAATAACACTTTCATTGTTCATGTCTACAAATTATTTTATCTGTCTCATTTCCAGGTCTGTTTCTATTTATTATGTTTTTTTCTTCATTATGAGTTGTATTTTCTGGTTTTTATGTTTTTATTTTGTTGGGTGCTAGAGATGTTCGTGTTTTTAAAATATTCTTGCATTTTGTTCTAACATGCAGTTATGTTACTTTGAAATACATCAACACCTTTTAGGTTTGCTTTTAGTCTATTAGATGTTACTAGAGTACTGGGGATAGTTTGTGCCACTACTGAGACAATACCACCTGAGTACCCAAATTTCTATGAGTTACATGGTTGTCCATCTGGCCGGATGGAGTCCTGACTCAGCACCAAAGATGTTTAACTTTGTTACTATTGAATGGTTTTGTCCTCAGCCTTGGGAAGTGTCCTCATACACATGCACTGATAAGTACTCAGATGATGACTTAAGAGGGACAAAATATCTGTAGACCTCCAGAGCTCTCCTGAGAATTTCTGTTCTCTGTGGTATTCTTCCCCATCAAACTCTTGCTGCTTTAAGTCACATCAGACTTTCAACTTTGTGTCTTCAATTTAGGGAAACTGCTAGGCTGGGCTCCTTCTGAGTTGCTCTTTTCTCTTTTGCAGCCTGGAAACTTTCCATATAATCAGATAAAGAAATCAAAGTGCTCACTTTATTTTTCTTCTCTTAGAAGTCGCTGAAGTGATCTTCTTCATATCCAAAGTCTCAAAATTACTGTTTTACATATTTTGTCTGTTTGCTTTTTAAGTTGATCCAGGCAAGCGGGATACATCCACTCCCTATTAATCCATTTTGACCAGAAGTTGGAGTTCTTTAATAAGTGATTAAACAATCATTTTATGATTTCAGTATGCCAAAACTTTTAGCTTTTTAAAGGTACCAAAAATGCCAAACTGCATTATATCTATTTCCTGATTTCTGCCACAAATCTCATCAAGAATGAATCCTAACTGTCATATTGTATTTTTAGAGGGTAAATTTAACCTGAGTGCTTTTAGAAATAGGTCTTTTATCCTGTGGAGAAATGAACCTTTATAACTCCCAGAGTGCATTCTAAGTTCAGTGAATTCAATGTAAATTACAATGTTAACTTCAGCATCTCCCCCCATCAAAAAATCCCTTCATGCATGGAATACAGAAGTTTTAAGTTTATGAAATGCAAACATTTAAAATTGGAAAAATCAATGCACTTTAGCCGACTCAAGAATAGCTGACATACATGAATAAAAAATGAATAAGTACCATGTAGAGAACATTTATTATTTTGAAACAAAGTGCATCATAAGTATTGGTTAACAAAATTCTGCTTTGTATTTTTTGAAGCAGTTTAAGAAGAATTATGTAGAATGATGTTTGACCTAAAATTTAGAAAGCCTGATCACAAAGACCTCACTGAAAGAAGTCATTTAATGGTAAATGAAATTAGAAAGGAGGGTAGATTTATTCCCTGCTTTTTCCCAAAGTATCTTACTGAGAGCATTTATGTACAGTGCAGCAATAGTGAACACGGACTTCAGCTGCATTTCAGACTGCGGGATCAGAATAGTTCATTGAAAATTCATATTGTGTGCTGTATAAGCCATTCTAGAAGGAAATTCATTTACCTTGATATTATTTTATAATTTCACGATTCACACAGAGAATCCCTGCTTATTCTTAAGCTAATAACAGTAATTTCTGAGAATATAATTTTATTCCTAGAGTTTTAATGTGTGGGCTCTAAAATGGAGTTTTATCTCAAATTTGATTGTAAATGCTTCTTATTTATGTTGTTTATTATTTCTGTGTGCCAATAGTTTGTCCAATTACTATATTCTAAATGTGAGTAGAATATGGAATCTAATGAATCCAAAGAAAAATATATCTTGTTTTTTTAGCTTTCATAAATGCTTTGAAATTCAGTTTAGTGTGTTTCGGTGCTTTTATTTTATAAATGTAGATGAATTCAGTATAATATAATGCATTATTATCTGAGTTACAGTTTTCTTTTCAAATGTTCTTGATCATTTAGTTGACATTAATCAAAACACTAAATGAGTAAATTTTCCATATGGCAGGCAGTTGTTTACTTACAAAAAAAATTTCTTGTAATAGATAGTAGGCTTAAAGACCAAATGATTTATTATTTCTTACCAAAATTATTTTATAAAATGGCTTATTGAGTCACTTTAAGCATAAGAAACCATATTTAGGAACGTGGAGGATACTAAGAAATGTAAGACATATTCTCTCTCTCTTTTTTTTTTTTTTTTTTTTTTGCGACAGAGTCTGGCTCTGTTGCCCAGGCATGGTCTCGGCTCACTGCAACCTCTGCCTTCCAGGTTCAACCGATTCTCCTGCCTCAGCCTCCCAAGTAGCTGGGATTACAGGTGCCTGCCACCACACCAGGCTAAATTTTTGTATTTTTAGTAAAGATGAGGTTTCACCATGTTGGCCAGGCTGGTCTCAAACTCCTGACCTCGTGATCTGCCCACCTCAGCCTCTCAAAGTCATGGGACTACAGGCGTGAGCCACCACACCCAGCCATAAGACATATTATCTAACATATTCTAGGCTACCAAAGACCTATGTAATAAATATAAGATTATTTCATGAAAAGAATAAGTGTGGTCACATAGTTTCTATAAGACCAGTGATTGCATTAGTAGTTTGAAAGTTTACTTTGGTATGAGGTTGTTAGAAGATTTTTCCTAGAAATGTTGGGTGGAGAATTTTGACTTAAAGATAAAGTAAGATTCATCCTCATGGGACGATATGTTATGTACTGTGTATAAGACTGCAGAGTCAAGGAAAAGCAAAAGAGGCTCAAGGTTCAGTGAACAAACTAATTGAACCATGAATGCAAGTTCATATAAGAGAGTTGCAGGAGTTATAAATAGAGAGATAACTTGAGTGCAGGTTTTGGAGGTTCAAAAATTGTGACCCATGATATTCTTGGATTTTTCTCTTACCAAATTATTCCAAGAGTCCATGCTGTATATTTAACAGCCATTTTGCTGCAGTACTGAATCACAAATACTGGGGACTTGCGTGCAAGTCATTAATTAAGCTAGTTAGACTTACCTGTCACCTACCCTTTATTATCTTTCTTATGCTTTTTTGTTTGTTTTAGCCTTCTCTTCTCATTTTTCACATATCTATTTTTATGAGAAAAAAATATTCTCCACTGTTAAAACTCCTGGTAAAACAAGAATCCAGAGTTAAAAGAGAAGCTGCAGCTACATTGTAGTTGTATTTGAATAGACTAAGCCTTTCTAAGATGCAGTTTATTAATAGGAGATATTAGTTACTCATTATTTTCTGAAAAAATGTGAATAATTATTGTTAAATGCCTCTTCCCCTCTTCACAATGTCTGCTCTAAAGAATGAGCCATGAAAAGGAAAGATGATTAATCTGTTATTATTTAATTAATCCTAGTTAGCCCTAGGAAGTTCTGCCCTACCTCTTGGTCTCTTTCTTTAAATCCAGAATTCCTCAAGGAGAAGCCCCTTCTAGTTTTATAATGACATCCAGAGCCTAATTTCTGATGCTCTTACTTTGGAGAACCCTGACTCAGTACCCATTTCAGTGACCCCTGACTTATCCATCTTCGAGGCTTGTATCCCATCTTCTTCTGCATAATATCATTTCCTGTATCTGTGTGGCTCAGAATGATATGAATCCTGTTCCCTTCTTAGGACTAGTCATGTCCGGGCATTTAAATTGTTTTGAGGGTGCTGGGAGAAGAGCAAGATTTGGGCCAGATAGTTAAGATTTATATATAATTAATATTTATATAGTTCATAATTTAAAGAAATTAACCTTTAAAAGTGGCAAATCACTTTATAAGATAGTTTCTGTAAGAATTTTTTGTTTATTAGGTATTGTGTGTTTGTGTGTTTTAATCAGTACTTTGTTAGACAAATGTGGAAAATAAGATACTGTATATCTTATATATACTAGTCATGTGACTGGTACAGATATATTTGGCAAGTTAAAGACAGCAATAGAATAGAGTTGATTACTTCTAGCAATGTCTATTCTGAAACATTATCAGTTAATCAGATAGATTATTCATATGTGAGTTATTTACATATTTTATTTAGTTAGCATAATCATTTGAGAGAGGTGAGTGGGTATATACAGCCCAATTCTTAGAAAAGTCTTTTAATCATACTTAGAAATATTATATGTTGTCTCAAATTTTGTTCATTCAATAGGAATGACATTTCCCTAAACTAGGCATTTACTGTCTCATTGAAATGAGAAAAAAAAGTGGCCATACAGTTCATAAATAGCATGCTATAAATCATTTAAAAAATAGAAGCTTGTATGTCTAAAGCTCCATTGTAAATTAACTTGTATAAATGAGAAGTGCAAACAGAACTACAATAAAGCAGGCCTTTACACCCTTACACGTCATTATGTCATTTGTCATGTCTTTCATTAGGACAGGTTAAATCTTTGTGCCGATAGCATAGAATATTACTGAAAAGTCATAGTGTTATGACATAAGGGATCATTTTCTTCTACAAGCATTTAGGGGAAAGTCAACATAGCCTCCTTCATAATTAGCAGAGAAGTGACATTTTAGAAATTTTTTATTTCTGAGATGCTTCTTTAAAAGGTGTACTGGTTTGAAGGGGAGCCTCTAAGACGGTATGTGCATGTTCTAACCTCCAGAACCTGTGACTGTGACCTTAGATGGAAAAGGGGTCTTAGCAGATGTCAATAAGTTAAGGAAGTCTAGATGAGATCATCCTTATTAATCAGGTGGGCCCTAAATCCCATGATGTGTCCATATAAGAGGCACATGGTGGAGAGATACAAGAGGAGAAGGTCATGTGAACACAGACACAGAGATGGGAATGATACAGTGACAAGGAATTAGGATCCAGAAAAGGCAAAAAAGGATCCTCTCATAGGCCTTCAGGGACCGTGCGGCCCTGCTGACACCTCAGTTTTGGACGTTTGGACTTCAGAACTGTGAAGAAACGATTTTTGTTGTTTAAGTTTGTGTATTTGTTATGGCAGCTCTAGAAAATCAATACAAAACCGTAGTTGTTGGACTTTCCCCCCCAATCTCCTAAACATTGTTTTTTAATTTCTGAACCAGCATTTCCTACTTAATAAAGCAGCATAACTAACAAATATATTTTTAATGAAAACTTGAGAAATAATTTAACACAACACTATTGGAGAAAGAAAGCATTAGAGTGACAGGGAATGATCACATTAGAAGACTCTAGGCAGTGAAGTTGGATGAATAAGATGGTTTTACCTTTTTAGTCAAAGGGAATATTACCTCAGCTATCCGAAAGAACTGTGTCAGTCAATTGTTGGCCAGTCAAACACATCTCTTATGTTAGTGTACAGCAGATACAAATTAGAAACAATACCAATTTCAAATTCATCCTATCTACCTTTTTTGTAATGTGGCAAGGTTTTTGCTTTCCAGAAAGAAGCAGAAAATAAATGTGAATGGAATACAATGAATACTGCATAATTTTTTCTTGTTAAGAGAAAAGCATATTTACAGCAAAGAAATTATGTATTTTTTTTAAATGTAGAGCCTGGAATTTTAAACACAAGAGTAAAAGTAGATGATTTTTCTTTATGATAATCTAGTTCGCAAGGCTTGCACAACAATCATTTCTGAGCAGACATTAGGGAATTCTATAAAAGTATTGGACAAAACAGTACTTATGGAAAGCTTGAAGAAATGGGGCAGAAAGGTGATTATTTTCTTTTATATTTGGCCCTCTTCTTATCATTATCTTTTTCTAATATGTTACTTCATGATGGTAATGATACAATAATAATTAAATTCTCAACTGTTACTTTCTATTTTCTCAAGTCTCTTACATTATTGCCATACCATCTTTTATTATTTGAACTTGCAGTAAAACTTTGGGGACGATTATTTTGATCACAACTGTAGGACTTGTGCCTCTGTTGAATCACATACAGAAATCAAAAGCATGGATAAATATTTTGTCAAATAAAATTTATTTAAAGAATATTTGGTAATGAGTGACAAATGTTTGCAACTCTGGGTAATAATAGAGTTATGTGTCCATTTTTTCTTTTGGTACATTTTTCACTTATCTGAATGGGAGCCGGAAGTGCTTTAAAGTTTCAGAATGCAAGTGCATGCATTGCAGTGATTTTTCTGTTGTTGGTCAAGTTACTTAAACGCTGTGTCCTGCTTTCCTCCATCTGTCGAAGGAACATAATGGCCACTCATGGCCTTCACAAGAAAAAGTGTAGGAAGAGAAAACAGATCTTGTCAGTGTGGGGTGGAGGATGAAGTTATTTTTAAAGCAAGTATCTTGTACCTTCAGGAAGCAAAATCTGGCTTAAGGTATTTTTTTTTCTTCTTTTCTGAATAGGCTATCATCATCAACATTTTAAACTGCTTTTTAATGTGAAGACTATACTTTTGTTTTCTGTGAGTTATATTTTATTATTAGACATTGAGGAGAAAACAAGAAGGGACCCTTCCACCGCCTTACAAATAGTGTTCACTAAAAGAAGTAGATAT
Source organism: Homo sapiens (assembly GCF_000001405.40). NCBI lineage: Eukaryota > Metazoa > Chordata > Mammalia > Primates > Hominidae > Homo > Homo sapiens. The sequence goes on from NC_000018.10 coordinate 53,362,819, forward strand.
TATTACTTACGCTGCTGTATTATCTACACCTAGGAAACACACTTAATACATGCATTATGAACAATGGAAGGCTTGCATGGCCCATAATAATGGTAATGAATAACACTTATTGAACATTTACTCTGTGCCAACTCTATGTATTGTCTATGCTCTGTCTCCTTTGCTCCTCACAATGTACCTAAAAGGAGGGTGTTCTGATTGACGCCATCTTACAATGCATTAACACCAATTACTTCAAGTTAAACTGAGGCTTAGAAGGTTTAAGGGACTTGTACCAAATCCCTTAGCTAGTTAAGTGATAGAACCAGGACTCAAACAGCCTGACTCAAAAGCATTCCTTACCCACTGGGCTGTGTTACATTAGGTGACGTACCTTTCACATGCTCTCTCTTGAAAGGCAAATACAGCTTTGAAAAATATCTAGCAAGTGGAGCCAATTCTGCTGAAATTCTATAGCAATTTTCTCCTGTCTGTCATTTCTTCACTGGCATTTAGCATCTGAAAAATTCTTCAGAGATTTTCTTTTCTCTAAAATTACAGAAGTTTAAAATTAAAGCAAGCACAATATTAACTAGTTTCCAAAAATGAAAGTTCTAACCAGCTTTTTGAAAGTTTGTGATAAAAGATAATATATTCTTACAGTCATACTCAGAAGAATAAAGGTATGCAAGGGACAGAGTGGTCAGTGAATGTGCTCATGTGGGAGCTGCGTTCTTTTATAACTCTCCATTCTCTCCCGTGGCCCTCTCTCTTCCTCACCGGCATAGACATTTACACACACATATGGTCGCTTTGAACTTCTCCCACAGGCTTCTTTGTCCACTGCCATTTCTATATGTTTTCTTCCCAGATAAATTCCCTACCTCAGCTCTCCAGAGTCTCCCATAGTATTGACAGAATGTGTACGATTTGTTTTAGGTTTTTCAAATATATTGAATTGAGTAGTAGTGACTTGTACCACAACTTTTAAGTAGAATGATTTAGTCTCTCTGAAAACAAGTTGCCTCCTTTCCAAGTATGAGTCTTCAGTGTTTTGCCTGGCTTCACTGAGAGTCAGTGAGCAGACTAAGGTTTGAATATTACTATCCATGAGATACATACCAGAGGTGCAAAAATCATAATAAATGTTCAAGATCATTAACGTTATAATAACAACAAAATAGATTTACTTGGATAAGTCTGTTAAGTTAATTAGAGTTATTGGAGCATTAATGTGTTTGGAGTTTAATGCCATAAATCAGCAATTCAATCAATATGTATCAAGTGCCAAAGAGGAAATCACTATTGCCAATTATGGTTGAATAGAAAGAGCCGTACACTTGGAATAAAAATTGTAACCTAGTATCTGGTCCTTCTTTTTATTATCTGGGAGATCATTGACACATAATAGACTCTCTCCAGTCCTCAATTTCCACACCGTCAAATTAGGGATGGAAATAAGATTTCTTGAGGTTGTTACAAAGATTAAATAGGTAAAGTATATAAAAGAACTTAATATTTCTATTTTTTTTTCTTTTTTCATAATTAGCAGGAAATTGCCCCTGTTTTTTTCAGGGAAACATAGCTGCAAAGTCAACTGGGAAATGTAGTCTAATTCTACCATAACATTGGCCCAGCAAATTTTTATGGATTTTCTCATGAGAAAGAAATGAAGTATGATCAGAGAGAGAACACTGTGAGTTTCTGGCACTATATTCACCATAGTACAAAATGCAAAATGACTCACAGAATTCAAAAATTACAACCTTCATCGACCATTAAGTGGAAACTTAATGAAAATAAAAATAAATGGGTAAATGGGGATGGTGACTCGGGGGAAAAATAATTTTATATCTGTTCCAATTGACTCCTACCTTCTCTTTTTCATACATGTATAAATGAAGTCATAACATCTCTATTTTCCAGATTCTTATTTATCCCCTGGCTTTCCACATACATTATTTCATAAACTTGAAATTTATGAACATTAGACATCATCTTGGGGCTTGTAAAGGTGTCCTAACCATCCCACAAATGTACATGTGCACATGTGCACACATGCACACATACATACACAGATACGTAACATGGAAAGCAAAATGGCTTTCTATAGATCCTTACCACGATGTTTTCCACATTGATGGAAATTTTTTCCTATGTTAAATATTCAGCAAACTATCTCTGAATTCTATCTTTAAGGATTTGAAAAAAGCAGCAAACTGCGCCCATTAACTTGTCATTTACATTAGGTATATCTCCTAATACTATCCCTCCCCCCTCCTCCCACCCCACAACAGGCCCTGGTGTGCGATGTCCCCCTTCCTGTGTCTAAGTGTTTTCATTGTTCAATTCCCACCTATGAGTGAGAACGTGAGATGTTTGGTTTTTTGTCCTTGCAATAGTTTACTGAGAATGATGGTTTCCAGCCTCATCCATGTCCCTACGAAGGACATGAACTCATCTTTTTAAGGCTGCATAGTATTCCATGGTGCATATGTGCCACATTTTCTTAATCCAGTCTATCATTGTCGGACATTTGGGTTGGTTCCAAGTCTTTGCTATTGTGCACAGGTACCCTAGAACTTAAAGTACAGTAATATATATATATATAAAAGAAAAGTAAAAGCATTTTATGATTTCATCCCACTGAAAAAAAAAAAAAAGAAAAAAGCAGCAAACTTTTTATTTTCTGAGTGAGCATAAATACTTAAACCCATAGATGGGAGCCCAGTTAGTTCATTACCAAATTTAATGGTTTTGAAGATATCTGTCCAAAAATTGTTATAGCTGTTGGGTAAAGGAAGAGACGAGGAATGTGTGAGTGTCTAGCATTGAGCACTGTTAAAACATCCATTAATCACATGTTAATCCTCCAATTTCTAGTCATAAGCAAAAATGCAGCACACTAGAAATGAGCCTTCTTATTAGAATTATTAATTTGAGAATCAGTCAACTACATACTTCTGTGACATCAAAAAGGCTGAGAGAACAGTGGTTGATTGCTCAGGAAATTTATGAGACCAACATGAATATCTTTCACATTCCACAAAAGAAATACAACAAATCCTTTGCTGACAAAGCTCTAGTCATTACAGATTTTATGTTCTCGTTTACAGAGGAAGAGCTTCTCAAGCCGGTGGTTTGTTTTATCACAGGAATGTTCTTGCAGGAGATTCACTTACAACAAAAACTTCAAGTAGATTTGGGTTGAATCCTTATTCTACCAGCTATAAGCTGTTTGCTCTTTGACAAAAATACTTAATTGTTTTTTTTTTTGAGACAGGGTTTCACTCTTACTGCCCAGGCTGGAGTGCAGTGGCGCGATCTTGGCTCACTGCAATCTCCGCCTCCTGGGTTCAAGTGATTCTCCTGCCTCAACCTCCTGAGTAGCTGGGATTGGAGGCACTCGCCACCATGACCAGCTAATTTTTGTGTTTTTAGTAGAGACGGGGTTTCACCAGGTTGGTCTAGAACCCCTGACCTCAGGTGATCTGCCCGACTCAGCCTCCCAAAGTGGTGGGATTACAGGTGTGAGCCACCACACCCAGCCCTTAATATGTTAATATCATTTTTTTACCTTTAAATTTCATCGTTTAGCTAGTCATTTTTTCATTCAGTGAATAAATCATTTTAAGTTCTTACTATATGCCAGAAAGAATGGTAGGCACTAAGAATATTATAAAATAAAATAAAGAAATGGCCCATGACTTCATTGTGAATAAGGACACTCATTTCTCCCTGGTGGGATGTTCATTAAAGGAGATAGCATGTCTAAACAGTTTTCAGGTTCTGAAACATCCTGGAAATTATCTCCTCTTCTGGAAGAAATTTTCCATGGATTGTCTCTTTTGATTTCCTCCAAAAGCAATTACTTTAATAATAGACTCGCCTATCTGAGTTTTAACAAGACACGTAACCACCCAGCTAAAAATGGGTTTCATGGCCTTCTTTATGGTTGTGCATGGTTGTATGACTGAGTTCTGGCCAGTGAAGGTGAGCAAAGGTGCCAATGCCATCCTCCGGCCTTGCCCACTCACAGAATGCAGTAGAACGTGTGAGCACTCAGGGTCCTTCCCTGTTATTGCAAGCTGGGAGATGACAAGGACTTACACCCAGAGATGGAAGCCACAGGGGATAACAGTGTCACATGACCAACACTGGAATGCTCATTTCTGTTTTATTTAAGCTGCTGCATTTTGGTGTTTCTTTATTGTCACAGCTTTGTCTGTACCCTAACTAATAAAATATGTTTTTGACACAGTTTATGCCATTATTTATTGTATTGCACACAAGAATGGACAAGTATGTGAAGATTCATCATTGAAAAATATGTTTTAACTCATTTTTGAAATTATTACAATATTGTTCAAATATATTTCTCTAATTATGTATCTTCCCCACTTAATTATTTTTATTTTGAGCCACATTATCTTATAATAATTACAATGTAAGATGAACAGCTTATGCTTCAAAGAAAAAAATGAGTATAGCCCTCTCATTTCAAGAGACGTTCAATAAAATAAAATTCTTGAAAAACAACAAAACAATAAGAGTGCTCTCCTTAGGATTTGAGTTCTTTAATATATTTTTACAATATTTTTGAAATTTCCTTAGTCTTAAGAGCACCCAGGAAGTTTTGAAATATAACAAAGTATAGAAGTGGTATTTACATAAGTCCTACATAGATATCATTTTTTTCCATTTTTAATTATGGTATAATTCACATGACATAAAATTTATTTTCTTAATCATTTTAAAGTATACAACTCAATGTCATTAAACACACTTGTAATGTTGCGCAGCCATCGAACCGTACATCTCTAGAACTCTTTTAATCTTGTAAAGCTGAAATTCTATACCCATTAAATGACACCTGCCCATTCTCCTCCCTCCCTGTCCCTGGCAGCCACCACACTAATTTCCATCTCTATGATTTTGACTACTCTATACATCACATATTAGTGAAATGATATAATATTTACCTTTTTGCAACTGGCTTATTTCACTTAGCATAAGGGCCTGAAGATTAATCTGTGTTAAAGCATGCAACAATGCCCTCAGAATTTCCTTCTTTTTAAAGGCTGAATAATATTTCATTGTATATTGTACCTCATACCTGCTTTTAAGGTTTGAGAGTGTAATACTCAGAAATGGAATTGCTAGATCATATGGTAATTCTATTTTTAATTGCTTGAGGCTCTACCATACTGTTTTTCATAGCAGTTGTACTATTTTACATTCCCACAAGCAGTGCACAAGGGTTCCTATTTCTCTACAACCCTGCCAACACTTGTTGTTTTGTTTTTAGTGTTCCTCTTTTCAATAGCAGCCATCCTGATAAGTATGAGGTGGTAGCTCATTGTAGTTTTGATTTTCACTTTTCTAATAATTAGGGATGTTGAACTCTTTTCTTGTACTTATTGGCCATTGTATATCCTCTTTGGAGAAGTGTCTATTCATGTCCTTTTTCTGCTTTTGAATTAGGCTGTTTGTATTTGATGTTGAGTTTAGGAGTTCACTATGTATTGTGCATATTAATATTTTATCAGCTATATAACTTACAAACCCTTTATTCTATAGTATGGGTTATCTTTTTACTTTGTTGGTACTTTATTTTGATGTACAATGTTTTTAAATTTTATGAAGTCAGAGGCAAATTGCCTATTTTTCCTTTTGTTACTTACCTCTTCTGTTGGTGTCATATCCAAGAAAACATTGCCAAATCTAACATCGTGAATTTTTGCCTGATGTTTTCTTCTAAGAGTTTTATAGTGTTACATCTGACATTTAAATCTTTTACCATTTTGGGTCGATTTTTTGTAGTGGTATTAAAAAGGGTCCAACTTCAACCATTTGCATGTGAATATCCAGGTTTCCCAGCACCATTTGTTGAAAAGACTGTCCTTTCTCCATTAAATCGTCTTGAAATCTTGTCAACATTATTTGACTGTATATCGCAAGGGTTTATTTCTGGGTTCCCTATTCTATTCTGTTGATTTATATCACTGTATATATGCTAGTACCACACTATTTTGATTACTGTAGCCTTATAGTAAGTTTTGAAATCAAAAAGTATGCGTCTTCCCCTTTATTCTCCTTTTTCAAAATTGTTTTGGCTATTTGGACTCCTTTAAGATTACATATGAGTTTTAGATGAGTTTTCTGTTCTAAAAAAAATCACTAGAATTTTTAATAGAGATTGCATTGAATCTGTAAAACACATTGGGTTGTACTGACTTCTTAACAATGTTATAGTTCTTCTAGTACGTGAACACGGGCTGCGTTTCTATATATTTAAAGTCTTTAATTTCTTTTGCAGTGCTTAATTGTTTTTACTATAGAAGTCTTTTATCTCCTTGGCTCAGTTAATTTTGAAGGATTTTATTTTTTGTACTATTATAAATTGAATGCTTTTTGTAATTTCTTTTTCAGATTGTTCATTGTTATTTTATGGAAACACAACTGATTTTTTGTGTTATTTTGCTAAATTCGTGTATTTGCTCTAAAAGGTGTTTTGGTTTTTTTGTACGTGTTTCTGTAGAATCTTTACACTTGATTTTAGCTAAAAACTGAAAAGTTATATTTGCAAAATCTTAGGGTTTTATATGCATAAGACTTTATCATCTGCAAACAATAAAATTTTACTTCTTTTTTTTCCAGTTCAGAATCCTTCTATTTCTTTTTCTTGCCTAATTGCTCTGACTAAAACTTTCAAGTACTATTAGAGTAGAAGTGTTGAAAGTGGGCATCCTTGTCTTTTTCCTGATCTTAGAGGAAAAGTCTCACCATTGGGCATTGTGTTTGCTGTGGCTTTTTCATATATGACTTTTATTATGTTGAGATAATTTCCTTTGATTCCTAGTTTGTTGAGTATTTCTACTGAAAGGGTGTTGAATTTTGTCAAATGCTTTTTCTGCATCAATTGATGACGTGGTGGTTTTTCTTCACTTTATTAGTCTGGTGGATTACATTGATTAATTTTTGTACGTCAAATCATTTTTACCTTCCAGGAATAAATCTCACTTGGCCTTAATATAATATATGCTGCTGAATTTGGTTTGCTAGTATTTTATTGTGGATTTTGGCATAAATATTTATAGGAGATATTGGTCTGTAGCTCTCTTTTTTTATAGTGTCTATGTCTGACTTTGGTAATAGGAAAATGCTGGCCTCATAGAATGAGTTAGGAAGTGTTCCCTCCTCTTCAGTTTTTTGAAAGATTTTAAAAAGAACTGGTACTAATTTTTTTAATGTTTGGTAGAATTCACCTACAAACCCATGAGGTCCTGGACTTTTACTTGTTGGGGAATTTTTGATTAGTGATCAAATCTCCTAAATAGTTGCAGTTCTATTCAGATTTTCTATTGTGATTTAGTCTTGGTTGGTAGTATGTTTGTAGGAATGTGTCCATTTTATCTTTGTTATCCGATTTGTTGATGTACAGTTGTTTCTAGTACTCTGTTGTAATCCTTCTTATTTCTTTAAATCAGGAATGGTATCCCCATTTTAATTTCTCACTTCAGTAATTTGAGTCTTCTATTTTTCTTAGTTCATCAAGCCAAAGGTTTGCCAATTTGGTTTATCTTTTCAAAGAACTAGCTTTGGGTTTCATTGACATTCTCCATTTTCCTATTCTCTATTTATCTCTGCTCTAGTCTTTGTTATTTCCTTCCTTCTAGCTTTGGATTTAGTTTATTATTTTTTAATTTAAGCATTTACAGCTGTAAACTTTACCCCAGCACTACTTCTGCTGCAACTCATGTGTTTTGGTACACTGTCTTTTTATTTTCACTTGGTTCCATGTATTTTCTAATTTCCTTTGTTGTTTAAGAGTGTATTGTGTTATTTAATTTCCATACATTTGTGATTTTCCAGTTTTACTTCTGTTATTGATTTATAACTTCATCCCATTACGGCCAGAGAAGATACTTTATATGATCTTTATCTCTCACTATGCATTGAAACTTACTTAATAGGATATGGCCTATCCTGGAAAATGGGAAGAATGTGTATGCTGTTGTTGTTAGAGTGTTCTACATATGCCTGTTAAATCTAGTTGGTTTGTTTTGTTAAGTCCTCTATTTTCTTATTTATCTTATGATTCATGCTTAACCAACAAAAAAAAATTTTACCGAAACAAGTGATGTTCTCTCGTCTAAGATATTTTCTTAGAATACTAAACACTTCTACCAGTGATACTGCTGTTAACAATATTTTTTGGAAATTATTGTTGGCAAAGTCTTTTAGAAATTATAGCATGACCTTTTGAATTTCTTTATTGATAGAAATATTTTATCAGTGGATTTGGTTTAATACAACCAACAGTGATTCAAGGCCAAATCTTATAAGATGAGCAACAAGTTATAAAGTAACATTTCAGGGTATCTTTTAAAGAAAAGTCTAAAAATGACAAGATCATCTGTCTATTTGCAGCTTATTTTAAACTGTGTTTCTCCCTTAAATTATATACTCAAAATAGTTGGGAGTAAACAGCAGAGACATCTCTTACCTAAAGTTATTCTAGGGCTAGTTCATCTTGTCAGAAGTATAATCCCAGTCCACAGTTTTCAAAGAAGTGGGACTGGTGAGTGTCAGAAAAATATTATCACTAGTCAAAAGCATGATTGCATTTCCTCTTGTAATCTGCAAAGTGTCAGAGGAACAGTTATTCTCAGTGTTATTGCATAGGCATGGAAGTGGTAAAGAAAAAATGTTTTTGGTCACAGCTACCCTAGGATGATGGTTCTTGCAGGTTTTTAAAAGACAGAATAGGCATCAGAGATAAATTAGGGCCCTAAAATAAAAAGAAAATGAACAAAACTTTAATTAAATTTATAATGAATTGTTATGAGAAGTGTCAGCCAGTACAGATCATAATAATAAAACAAATACCTTCTATTGAATGTTAACCCAATATCTAGTTGTTTTAAAATATTATATCAACTATTTTATAATTATAATGTCCAGAATTTACAAGAAAAAAAGCCCATTAAAAAGTGGGCAAATAATACGAACAACGCTTTTCAAAGAAGACATACATGCAGCCAACAAGCATATGAAACAATCCTAAGCATCACTAATCATTAGAAATATGCAAATCAAAACCACAATGAGATACTGTCACACACCAGTCAGAATGGCCATCATTAAGAAGTCAAAAAATAGCAGATGCTGATGAGGTTGTGGAGAGAAAGAAACAGTTATACACTGTTAGTGAAAGTGTAAATTAGTTCAGTTATTGTGGAAAGCAATGTGACAGTTCCTCAAAGGACTTAAAAGAGAATTACCATTTGACTGAGCAATCCTATTACTGGAAATATACACAAAGAAATATAAATTGTTCTACCATAAAGACACATGTGTGTGTATGTTCATTGTTGTACTTACTATTCAAATAAGCAAAGACATAGAATCAACCTAAATGCCCATCCATGGTAGACTGGATAAAGAAAATGTGGTACATATACATCGTGGAATACTATGCAGCCATAAAAAAGAATGATATGGCCTTTGCAGCATGGATGGAACTGGAAGCCATTATCCTAAGCCACTAACAGGAATAGAAAACCAAATACTACATGTTCTCACTTATAAGTGTTTGCTAAACAGTAAGAACATATGAACACAAAGAGGGCAACAGCAGACACTGAGGCCTACTTGAGGGTAAAGGGTAGGGGGAGGGAGAAGATTAGAAAAAATACCCATTGAGTACTATGCTTATTACCTGGTAATAATAATCTGTACACCAAACCCCCGTGAATGCTGTTTACCTATATAACAAACTTGCACACGTACCCATGAACCTAAAAGTTAAAAAAAATCAACTATATATGTATTAAATAAAAGTGATATAATTTACATTTGCAAATTACAGAAGACAAGCATATATGAAACCTAGAGAAGTTAAAAAATTTTTCAAGAATAGTAGTTGAAAATTCACTTCTAATGCTGGTGTGTCTAATCCCAATTCCACGGCCTTCCACTCTCTTGTGCCTCCTTAGGGAGAAATCTGTCCTGAAATAATTCTGTACTTCTGGGCCTTGATCCTCAGAACTCTGTAATACCCACTGAAAGTCAGAGACCATGTGATTTCATTAGAGTCATAACCCCTTCTAGGTTTGTAGCCCCTTTTAAGTTTGCATCTCTGTATTTTTCTCTGGCTTCATATCTTCTTCCCACTTCTCACTAAACAAAAGGCTAAAGAAAGCTGAGCCTAACCACATGTTTGCCTCTCCACAAATGAATAAGTTGCTATTCATCATTTTCTTTTGTTTGCTTTCCTTTATCAGAATTTTCCAAACATGCAGCTGTATTAAAAACTAGGTCAATTTAAAGCAATCATGCACAAAATTGTTTATTAAAATACAAATATACACCAGTAATGTTATAATTGAATGTATTTTTCTGGGACCCATAAGTCTTTTGTGCCTTTGATTTCTCTGGTTTCCTCATGTGGATAGTAATTTTTACCAAGAATTTTACTATGAATAGATCTAGTGAATATTCCTGCGGATGCTGACATTTGGTAGCTTCTTGACTCATTTATGTTAAGTCCATTTAATTTTTTCTGTTTTTATCCCCTCTCTCTCCTCTACTCCCCCGAAATAATCCAAGTGAGCAACTAAAATGCTACTTGATTTTCTTGAGAACTTTGGCCAGAAGCTATATTTATTTATAATCACATGTCCTAATGCTATATTGTTTGTACGACTCATTATTGTAGTTATTATTCTTTACCAGTTGTTTATTTTTACATAATTATTCTAACTTCATTTCATCATGTTTTATTAAAGCACAAGGTTAAAAATGAGTTCAGTTTTACTGTCATCTTAGAATTATCATTAACTTAATGTCCCTTTTTGTTAGTTACAATTTTTCCACCTACTCAGGTGTTCATGAGTTGAGTATATACTCAAATGCACAACAAACCCAAATTTTAGAGCACAGAATTGAAAATCATGAGTTTTTGAAAGTTTCATGAACTGAGGCAATCTTATTGCCATTGCCATGAGGAGAGAAATTGATTAGGTCATATAGAAGGAATTGAATGAGATAAGGCAAATGCTTTATTTTTGTTATCTTCAAGTGTGATATATGTATGCAAACTATTAAACTCCTACCCATGCTATAAAGTCATAGTATGTGTATGTACTGACTTACTTTACATTTGAATATAAAACAGATAAATAGTAACAGGAATCCTTTACACTGAATCTGCTTCATCTGCCCTTGGCATTGTCCACAGGCTGTAGCAACTACAGCAATGCCATGGGAGGCAAAGGTAAACAGAGCTTTTATGTAGGTGTGCTGTCCAGTGTGGAAGCTGCTGTCCATATATGGCTATTTAAATTTGAATGAATTAAATAAAATGAAAAAAAAATAGATCCACATTTCTTCTACTCACATTGTAAGTACTCAACAGCCACATGTGGCCAGTGACTACCACATTGGACAGCAATAATACAGAAAACTTCATCATCACAGAAGGTACCATGGGGCAATGCTGTTTTATAGTATTTAGTAGATTGCCTTAATTGGGACTTAGCCTCTGAATAATGAAAAAAGCAGAAGCAACAGTGCACAAATAGATGACATCCAAGATTTTAAATAAATACACACATATATGCATGAAACTATGTATTATTTGTGTGAGCATCATCTAACTGGCATGCTGGGTGATTAGGTTAGCATTTAGGTAACAAAAGATGTCACCCATTGAAGACAAGATCCTGAGCAGGCTAGTTCAATGCACACATTCATACACACACGTACACACTCACATACACACAAAGTCTTAATGCTTGTTGAGTGAAAAGGCAAAATAAAAATATAAAAGATAGTCAACCATGACATATGCTAACATACTATGATGTTAGGAGAAAATTAAATGGTATTCATACACGTACCCACACACATACACACAGTCTCAGACACTTGTTGAGTGAAATGGCAAAATAAAAGTATAAAAGATAGTCACCATGACATATATTAACATACTGTGATGTTAGGAGAAAATTAAATGTTGGTTAATATTTATTACTAAAGAGTTAAAAATGCAATCTGCACTCTTCTTAAAGTGAGGTATGGTAAAGCCTCCAGATTATTTCTGTCTTGTCATTATTTCCACCTTTGCATTTCAAAGAGAGTGTAAACCATTTGGGCCTACTTGCTGTCTTACTCAGTGTTTATCCTGCAGTGACCCATGGGTGGATTGGAAAGTAGGACAGACCTGGCTTGGAATCTGAGCACTGCTACTTAATGAGCTCTGTTTTCTCATCTCCTGAATGGGGACAATCACTGTGCCTACCTTTTAGGGTTCCTACGAAGATAAGTGCATCAGAGCACTTCAGGATTGACATCTGGTGCAGGAAGTGCTCATAAACAGGGACTCAGGTTCATATACTAACCTCTGATCTTCCTTCCTAGCCTCTCTGTATCTTTATCTTTATAGTTCTTTCTGTTCATGTCTTCTGTTTTAATGCTCTGCTATGTCTTTGATCCCTTGCCCTCACTCAGAAACCCAAAGGAATGAATATGGAGATTAAGAAAGAGAAGGCTACCAGAAAGTAAAGTAAAAGGAGAAAGGAAATGGGAAGAGGAAGGAATTACAAACATCTATAAAAAGATATGCTTCCTCTTTTTGTTCCTGACTAAAACTCATTTTGTTTTATTTTGTTCTCTTTATGCTAAAGAGTCAGTTTGACTGACTTTTTAAAATAATGATTTGTTTGCTTGAATTAACTAAATGAACAATATTTATATTTCTTAATAATTGAGTCCTTAGGTGATCATACAATGTTACCACCTTATATTTAATTCTTTTTTTTTTTTTTTTTTTGAGAAATGTGAACAAAAAGAGGAAAACCTGTGTGTTTGGTTATAAGGTCTCTGGTTAATTTTCTGATGTAAAGCTTTACTGAAAAATCATTTCATTAAGTGCTCCACTTGTGAGCTGCTTGTAGTGCTTTGTAATCTAAGCATTTCTTCAGTCATTTCTCTGACTCTGAGGGCTCTCTGCCAAAGCACGGCTTACCAACTGGAGCAGGTAAGGAATGTTTATTTTGCTGTAATTGGTGACCAAAGGCTGCTCTGCATAATGGCTCAGAGGAAAACTCAGACCTTCTATTCCTGACACTATGGAGGAGAAAACCTGAACTTAAAAAGGCACTCGGGTCTTACCTATATCTTTTTTGATGAGGTGATTGCAACTGGACCTCAGCCTTGCCATTTCTAAAATAGGGATGATCATTCCTACTCTATCTATTTTCTAACGTTGTTGAGATAATTGATACAAATATTATTTTAAAAATCAAGCCAGACGCGGTGACGTGTGGCTGTAATCCCAGCACTCTGAGAGGCTGAGGCAGGCGGATCACTTGAGGTCAGGAGTTCGAGAACAACCTGGCCAACATGGTGAAACACTGTCTCTACTGAAAATCAGCCGGGCGTGTTGGTGGGTGCCTGTACTCCCAGCTACTCGGGAGACTGAGGCAGGAAAATTGCTTGAACCTAGGAGGCGGAGGTTGCAGTGAGCCAAGATAGCGCCACTGAACTCTAGCCCCGGCGAGTGAGCAAAACTGTGTCTCAAAAATAAATAAATAAATATTTAAAAATAAACAAACAAAAAGCAAAGCACAGTATGCATGAGTTTGCTTTTTCTAAATGTGATGATGAAAGCTATCATATAAATTTGGTAGTACTCACCAACGTAGAGCCAACAATTCTAAGCAGCTTATCTCCAGTCTGAGTCTAAAGAACCCTAAGACATCTAGTTAATTCAGTGGTAACAATAGGGAAGCAATTATTTGGAAGAGTGTCTGGAGTACACGTGCTGCTTTCCTGAGCTCCAAAGAAAGAGGCCACCATACCACAGGTTTTTTTACACAATTCTTACACTATGACCGGAGCCCAAGGCAGACAGTCATCTTTAGCTATGCTGCCCTTTCTTCCCTATATCAAATATGACAGCAGAAATATCTTTTCTCCCCTCTTGACTTCCTAATACTAGCAATAACTTTATCTCATTATCAAACTCAAAATTTAAGAGTCACTCTTGATTTTTCCCTTTCTTCATTGAGTAACAAATTATGTTACTCACGTCCATTGTTTGCTCTTAATTTATACTTTACCACCTCAGTTCAGGCCCCTATGGTCTTTGCCCAGACAATTGCAATAGCTTCTGTAGTATTCCTACTTTCAATATCTTTTCCACTTTCCCTGGACTGCCTAGTTCTGAGGAATCAATTTCCCTAAAAGTGCAGTTTGAAACTTGTTGAAAATCTTCTTCAACTCACATCTCTTATTCTATAAAAGGTAGATAACACAGAGGATACAAGGCTGAGCTTTAAGAATTAGACATGATACCACTGTCTTAGTCTATTTTGTGATGTTATAACAGAATATCTGAGACTGGGTAATTTACAAAGAAAAGGAATTTATTTCTCACAATTCTAGAGGCTGAGAAGTCCAAGGACAAGGAGCTGCTGCATCTGGTGAGGGACTTCTTGCTACATTATCCCATGGTGGAAGGCAGAAGGACAAGAAAAGATGCATTTGAGAGAGAGAGAGAGAGAGAGAGAGAGAGAGAGAGAGGAAGAAGGCCAAACTCATCCTTTTCAACAGGAACCCACTCCTGCAATAACTACTCCACTCATACAATAGCAGCATTAATCCATTCATGAGGCCAGAGCCCTTGTGACCAATCACCTCTTACATGTCCCACCTCACAACACTCTTGCACTGGTGATTAAATTTCCAACGCATGAACCTTGAGGGACACATTCAAACAAACCATAGCAATCACCTACCTATAAAAAGAGGACACTCATCTATTCAATAAATATTTATGGAGTCCTTACTGTATGTCACACTGGATTAAGGTGAGAAATAAATGAAGTAAGGGATGGGAGGTAGTTAAAAGGCCTAATTAGGCATCCAACAAATGTTACTATTAGGAAAAAGAGAATGAGGAGGAGTTGCTGTTATTATTGTCTTCAAGTTTGATTCTAATATGCATGACGCATCCACAATGAACTGTGCCCTTGCATTTGCTTGTTTCACTCTTTTCCCTCAGCCATTGTTCATCAAAAGATTCAGCAAAACTGCCACCTTCACAGAGAATGCTCTCTGATTCCAGAAGGCTTTGCTCTGGTTTATTTATTTATTTTAATTAATTAATTTATTTTTTTAAGACGGGGTCTGGCTCTGTTGCTGGAGTGCAGTGGCGCAATCTCAGCTCACTGCAACTTCTGCGTCCTGGGTTCAAGTGATTCTTGTGCCTCAGCCTTCACAGTAGCTGGGATTACAGGCACGTGCCTCCTTACCCAGCTAATTTTTCTATTTTTATTAGAAACAGGGTTTTGCCTGTTGGTCGGGCTGGTCTCGAACTCCTGGCCTCAGGTTATCCACCTGCCTCAGCCTCCCAAAGTGCTGGAATTACAGGTGTGAGCCCGACCCTGATTTTCTTTTAAACCTCCAACACAATTTTTTTATTAAAAGGTTCATTAGGGAAAATAATGGTTTTTGTTTTTGTTTTTTAATCTTTATGTACTCTAGAGAGCTTATAAAATACATAATATATCTTACAGAAGATGTTCAATGGCGATTGTTGAGTGTCCCTTTGAATGAACAAATGGAAGGATGAAGATTGAATGTGAATATGCAAGTGAGAGAGGAAAATATTATAAAATATCTTTGGATTCATTTTTTCACACACCTACTGGTATCAGTATGTGCAGTTTAGGATCAGGAAATCTGAGTTCCATGATCAAATTGATTAGGGACTTGCTATTCAACCTTCAGTAAATAATTTAGCCTTTCTGTGTCTCATACATTCAGCAATTCAACAAATATTTGTTAAGCACCTTCTATCTGCCCAGCACTGAAACATTTCTCACTAAGCATGTTTTGACCTGATTTTCTTCCCGGTAATACACTTTAGTAGAAGATTGAAAATGTACCCTAATTTTTCTTCCTTGGAGTCAAATACTTTCTCACACTGAGTAGGTGAGTAGCTGGTATCTGCAAGACTGATAAATGAGAAAACATGTCATAAACTGACCATTCTTTGGACAGTATTTCTAGAAAAGAAAAAAAGAAAAATCTTTATCAGGATGCCATTAGATTAGCTATTAATTACGTTTATAAAGGAGTATATGTAATGAAGTAGAATTGAATGCATTATACAAATGGCATCTTTCTCAAATATGTGTTGCTCATCCTTTTAAGAGACCAATGCAATCATCCATATTGTCTCTCCACCCACTACATTTAATTAAACAGTTTGGGTCCAGTGGGGTCAAAGGTGTTCAGTAACATTTACCGTCTGACAGCAATCCCATGGCCTATATTCTGTGAATGTGGAAGCCCTGGTTCATTGCAATGAGCAGGTATCTGCGTTAGCAAAGCAGCTACCACTCTAATTTTCTCTAATTGACTTGTTGGCAGTGCTAACAGAGAGGGCAAAAGATGCAGGAACATGCAGAGTGGGCCCCGACAAGAACTTGGCATGGATGAGGCCAGTGAGTGAAGTATATAATCTGTAATGAATAAAGGACTCTGGGCTGTCAATCTGGCACATGCCACTGGCATTTAATTCACACAAAATATTAATTAAAAATAATGATGTTCTCCCCAGCTTTTGTCGCCAAGTACAGCATCTTGGTCTAGCCCTGAAGAGCTGTCTACAGGTTTCTTGATTCATTCCCTCAGCCCCAGAGAAAGACATTCATCTCTTACCTTCAGGGAAGCCTCAAAAAAAGCTCTTAGAATAATGGGTCTCTCACCTACCAAGTCTCAGGGGAAGGAGAACCCAGGCTTTTCCTGATTACCCATTTCTTGTCTTTTTCAATCTCTGTGATCAACGAATGTGCATTTATTTTCTCCTTTCCTGGCCACAGAGAATATACTGGCCAAGAGCCATCTATTTTGGATGCTCAACGAGTTACTAAATATTTCTTCAGTTTCCTTTATCCCAAACTGAGGTGTTCTACAAGAAAGGTTGGCCAAACAATAATGAAAATCTGATCAATAATTTCAAATCTGCTAAATAACCCAGAATATTCTTGATTTAAAAGAATTCCCGTGGACTTCCAAATTATTATTTGGAAATTTATTTTCAAATTATTTCAGTATGATTAAATCACAGTAAATTCAAAGAAGAAAATACTGCTGAGCTTTATTTTGCAGAGGCAACTGATAAATTTTTAAGCCTATATATTTGCAACATTTTAGCAAGTACAAAAAAATACACTTACTGTCATGATTGTCACTAAGTGTATTCCTGCACAATGGGGTCTGGCCATAATTAATGATTAATTCATTTGGAATCATCATGATAATATTAAATGTGTTTAACTCATTTGATGCTTCTGTAGAGGGAGCAATTCTAGGCAATTCTTTTGTGATTTACTGGTTTTAAAGTTTAAGAGCTCTGAGCATGTGCAGGAAAATAGTTCCACATTGCTCTCCAGTGGCACAGTGGTAAATTACACCCTTCTTACATACTGGTAGAAAACCCTCATTCTCTCTTGCTCCCAATTCACACTTAAAGCATCTTTCCTCTTCCATATACATTCAAACAAAATACCTCCATCACAATATAAAAGGATATCAAAGCACTATAGCCCACTTGTTAACTAATAAATGTACAATATTTTCTTGTTTTTTGTTCTGGAAGATCAATTATTGGATCAAACTTTATCAGGACCGGAACAAAATCCTATTGTTTCCTCAGTAGGTCCAGAATGCAGTTTGGCAAGAGCACAATACAGAGGCTAGACTCCCCAAAAGATGTTTATGAGCAGTTAAAGTGTGAAAAGCATAAAAGAAAGCTCCTGGAAAAGGCAGTCAAAGGGGTTGTGGAGTCTTCCCAAGCCTTTATTACTTAGGTAGTTCTGCATTACTTTAGAAAAACCATTGACCTTACCTGAGCCTCAAGTTACTAACTGACGATAGGAAAACATTGAGCCAAAACATCTTCAGGACTCCTAGCTCTATGGGATATTCTTATACCAGTTACAAGTCCATTGCAAGTGTGTTTACTTTTTACGGGGCTAAGCTGTTACCACTTTTTGTTTAAGTGTAAGGTTGATCTTCTCTAAGATGTGCACAGCATAGTAGGTATTGGTGAAATACAGTGATTAGTATAATTCATTAATCCAACAGAGAGTAAATTATAAAGCTCTCGACTCAGCATATTCTATACCATGGCTAAAGATCAAGTGAAAGAAGCTGTCATTACTCAGATGACTCGAGATTTGGTAGGTATCAATATTAGCAAGAGTCTGTTTTGGAATGACAGTTACCTCAAATTTATGGGGGTTAGGAGATGAAGAAATGATGACTGCTTCAGATTAAGTTAAAAATTCAAACCAATACAATGAGAATCTTGTATTCTCAGTACCAAGTAAGGTATTTTTAATTTTTTTTCTTTTTTAAAAAAGAAATAATATACACCCTGAAAGACTGAAAGGTAATAATCCAGTAATGTTACAGAAGCTTTTACAGAGTGCATTTTCTATGGAGCTATAAATTAAGCATCTGGGTGGTGGGAACAGAAAAATGAAGACATGAATTTAGTGTCTCATGGACTATGCTGACCATCCATAAGCTACAGCTGTTAACCCTGATTAGGAAGTCAAAGGCTTCCTATTAAGTAGAACATTCTTTGAATCCTAATCCAAATTGGACCTGTGAATATAAAACAATCACTTCAAATCTCCTAGCATAAACACCTGTTTCATTCTTTTATATTTACCCCCCACCCCCCCCCCACCACCACCTTACCACATCATATAAAGTTTCTAGTTTGTTGTTGCTCTAAAGGTTGACGGCTTGACTATGGAAGACCAGACTTCAGTATCTATTTTTCCGGGATTATATGTATATTGGCATGTAGTTGGGTATGTAGGAATCTGTCCAAGGTTATAGACTAATGACCACAGGCTTGGATTCAGTCCAGAGAGATAGTTTTTCCAGGATAGGAAATTTATTGTATTTATTGTATTTTCCAGGACAGGAATTTATTGTATTTATTTAAATTATCTGCCAACACTGAAAAATTTGATAATTTCTCATAAAAATCTGGATTTCCAGATAATCTGACAAAACTGGGACTACCTTCCATACACTAATATTATCTTGGACCTGAATAGTGGCTCCACTCTTTAGATCAATCATATACTTTCCAAGATCCTCTCTGACCTAGTGGCTCTCATACACTGTAGCCAAATCTAGCCGTTTTTCTTTTCTCTCTCTCTCTGATTAAAAACAACACACACACACACACACACACACACACACACACACCCCTACCTCCTAAGCACTTGAGTGTGGAATTTCTGATCACTTTTTCACTCTTTTGATAAACACTTAGATAGATGCAAATACGGAGATGTATTCAAATTGCGAATGGAATTTGAACTGCAAAAAGGCAATTTTAAATGGCTCAAGCCTAATAAAAATGTTTACATTTTTGGTGCATAGATGATTCATATATTTGAAATCAGACGTAGTCCATCCTGCAATAACTCAAAAGAATATATTTCCCAGTGGAAAAAAAAGTGTACTTTTTGATCTACCTAATTGTATTTTCACCATTTTTTCACTGAAATGTTTTCTTCCTCCTATAGTGCTTCTTAGTCCTACCCTTATTCACAAGCCCTAGTTCAAAGTTCATATATTCCAAAAGTCTTCTTTGATGACCTAAATCCTCACTAATTTTTCAGACCTCTAAATGTATAGCATTCATAAGCTATATCACATACTTTATTGTTTAATTTTACATAGTCTTTCATTGTTTTCTCTGCCCAGAATTATATTAGTAACCTGACAGAAATTCATCTTCTCCAAGTACTTGGATCTCAAAGCGCATTTAACACTTGTTGATTGATTACTTTCTTATTAGGAAAATAGCTTGACAACATACATTTTCAAAAAAGAAATATTCCCTTTTGGAGGGAAAGCAATTCACTGAATAGAAGCCCTTTGACTACATTAGATATAATCTTATTTTATTCTTCTTGCTGTATTATAGCTCTTGAATCCATGTGGTTTAGAGTCTCAATATCTTTAACATTAATACTTAGGTCACATACAAATTTTATGAAGAAAACTCAATCAGATCAATTTTTATAGATGTCTATCAGAGATAAATACACTCATTTTTAAGGCTTTTTTATTTTGATATAAAACCCAGATACAGAAAACCACATGCAACAAATGTGTAATTTAATGAAGTATTATAAATTGAAGTTCACCATGTTTCCTTGCTCTGTTTTCTGCAATCTGTCATTTAGGTCCAGAGGCTAGATCAGACTAAGTAGGTTTGATCCCTTTGGCAAAACTCTGGAGAGTAGTCTGTTCTTTCATCAGGAAGCACATACTGTCTCGTTGTCTCTATTTTATCTTAGCAATTATTAATGCTTAATGCTTAGATCCATTCATTAATGGGGGCTGTAAAACAGCAATATTTTAATTTTACTGTTTTGTTTTTATTTGTTAGCTAGAATTATGTTCTGATTTCACAACCTCAGAAATGACCAACTGTTATTCTTTAAAATACCTTTATCAAATTATGCATTTATGTATATTTGGTGAGTTTCCATACATCACAGCATTTATGCTTTTCTGTTTGCAGATTATCCTTATCTCTGGTCTGAGGGAGTCTCTTCAAATTGACTACTGAACCCATTTGACATGATTTTATTAGTTGCTTCCGTTCTATCTAGTATGTCAAAATATTTCAGGTTCATTTGGCATGTTTTCTACTTTAAGAATCAACCAGTTCTGCGAGAAGCTGCTTCTTTTTAATAGGAATTAATTTTCCCCCAAACTGCAGTCTGTGTATTAGGGATGGTTATTGCTACCGAGTCCAGGTTTCCAGACATTTTTTAGCAGACAGAGCTGGAAGAGAGAAAAAGTACAATTTTGAGTTCAAACTTATTTTTCCAATTCAATTTTAGGAACACAGACTTTATTTAACCTTTTCTGTATTACATCTCTAGGTCTTTTCATCTACACCAAGAATCTGGTTCTCAGGGACAGAGGGGATGATAGAATATCTCATGTTTACCCATTTGCTTTATTCCATATTACATTAGTCTCAAAATAATAAAAGTGTCAACATCAATAATAATTATTGAAGTATTTATCTTTGCATATACTGTCATTAGTCTTTAATTTTGTTTTATGATTGTACCATATCTATAATATCAAAACATTTAGCCATTACAAAATAAAATATCTTTCCTTTAACTTAGTCTTAGTTTATTAAATTTTTATTCACCAGTTAGCTATTAAATCAGTATCTCTTCTGGTCATCGTATATGCCTAAAGCTCATTTACTAGTAGTTCTGGGGATCAGGGAACAATATTCCTGAGTACTTGCAAGTGGATAAGTTTGTACCCTTTATGTTTAAAGTTAATTTTTGTTGACTATAAAACTTTGAATTACATTTTCTTATGTTGAGTATCTAAAGTTACTCTAATTTCTTCTGCCGTAAAATGTTATATAAAGCCTGATAATCTAATTTTTTTTTCTAAGTCATATATTATTTTTGTCTGGATGCCTAAAACATTATTTTAAATCAGCAGATTTTTTATTTAGTGATTCTGTTTTTATTTTCCTTTGGATTTTCCTCATCAAGGACTCCTATTATCTGTACGTTAGATCTTCCTTCTCTAACTTCAATATTTATCACTTTCTCCTGAATCCTTTTTCAGTCTTCTTAATTTCTTTTGTTATGTTTTTGCTTTTGACTTGTATTCATCTAGTTACCGTTCATGTCTAAAATTTTTTAATTTACATATATCTATTCCTTGAGTTATGCCACCTCATTTCTGAGTTTTCTGATTTATGTTACTTTTTCATATCTGGCATTTTCTTAATGTAGTTTAGTTCATTTTGAAATCATAAATTGCAGTTTTGATCTATTTTTCTTGGGTGTTTTCTTCTACTTTTTATCCATTTTCTGTACTTTTCTATAGGAATGATATTCTCCTATTTTATTTTTTCTTGTGCTAATTTTGTAAAGAAGTTTACCTCAATAATTTTTTTTTCTTTTTTTTGAGGCAGAGTCTCGCTGTGTCGCGCAGGATGGAGTGCAATGGCGCTATCTCGGCTCACTGCAAGCTCCGCCTCCCAGGTTCACGCCATTCTCCTGCCTCAGCTTCCCGAGTAGCTGGGACTCGGGCACCCGCCACAGTGCCCGGCTAATTTTTTTCTTTTTTTTTTTTTTTTTGTATTTTTAGTAGAGACGGGGTTTCACCGTGTTAGCCAGGATGCTCAATACATTTTTATTGCTTACATTTATGTAATTTGTTTTTCCTGTTCTTTCAGAAATTCAGAGAGCTCTTCTCAATACATAGAGCTCCCTGTCCTGTTCTTTTCAATAGACAGGGTTCAGCAAACTACAGGTTACAAGTAGAATCTGGAGCAGGTCTTGTTCTTGTATGGACCCCTGAATTATAAGTGGTTCTTACATTTTTGAAGTGTTGTAAACAAATAAACAGAGATAAAAATTGACAGAAACAATGTGACATTCAAAGCTAAAGTATTTACTCTCCGGGCCTACGAAAGCTTGCCAGCTCTGGATACAGACTGAAAACTATGGCAGCTTGCTTTCTGAATTTTCATGGTTCTTCTTCTCCCCTACTTTTAACTGGACTTTCTCTCCCCTTCATCAATATTGTTTCAATCTTGGTTATATCTTACATCAGTTCACAGGAGGTTGTCCCCAGTTTGGGCCCAGTGCTAGAGAGGAGACTTTGCAGGTCAGTTTTGAGTGTTTAAATTTGTTGTTCTGGAACTGATCTGCTGTGCTTTCCAGCATTAGCTGATACCTATTTTAGAATTATCCTGTTTTTAGGTTTGATGCTTCCCTTTGATGTTTCTTACACAGATGCAGACAACAAACAGATGATGAGGCTGTCGGTTGTTTATTCACACCCACTTGTATATTAGGGTTCGAGGGCACACATCATCACATAGGTTTGCAGCAAGCAGATAAATGCTTTCGGTTTTCTACCTAGTAGTTCAGTATGTTTTCATATGGGGATTGAGGAAGATCAAAAAACCCTACTGCTACCACCCACTGCCACTTTCCTTTCTGAATCCAACTCACTCATTCTTAAACAATTTACCAAGTAGATTATATGAAATTTGTTTTGAGGAAAATGTTTGCCTTGAGTATTTTGATACATTAAATATATCAACACGTTCATATTGTTTCTGTTTTTTCTCCAGAGTCAAGTTCCCATTATGTAATCTCCCTAAAAGCTTTTAACAATGCCGGAGAAGGAGTTCCTCTTTATGAAAGTGCCACCACCAGGTCTATAACCGGTAAGTGAAATTGTTAATCTTCCTCTGACAAAGTATATTTGATTTATGGTGAAAAAAGAAAAACTAAAATAAAATACAAAGAAACAAAAATGAATATATCCTATCATTATCCTCTGATAATCCTCAGAGAATAATTATCCTCTGAGTCTGATAAGTACATATGTATACTTGCACACATATGCATGCATTTTTTTATTTCTTTGGTTGTCGAAATTAAGTAGGAGGAATTCAGTTTATAAATTTGCACATGGACTTAGAGAATATAGATCTCTCAATCTGTTCCTTCCCAATAGCATCATGGTTTTGGTGCCCTGATACCATGCTTCCATCTCCTGAGCAGTTTGTCTCAAATCAATGCCATCTTTGTCCCTGCATAAAGGTTGCCAAATGCCTAAATAGACACTTGCTTCTCCACACAGGGTCTTTCAAACTAAGATGACAAGGAAGAGCTGGCCTTCTGGGGTGGTTTGCATTAGGCTGAGTGACATATGTGGTATCTTCCTGAGCTGGGCCTCCAGGTCACCCCAGCAGTGCCCAGGGCCTCAGGACCTTAAAGGGATAGCTGATTTAAGGCCTTGTCACCCTTAGGAATTTTTCTGTTAGTTGGACTGTAAAGGCAGTACATAAGAGTGAAAGGGCTCAAGATACTGAGAAAGAAATGGGTAAGATGGTGAGATCCAAACTATTTATGGAGGTTATTTGTTAGCATGTGTAGGCTTAGTCCAAAATACAATAAGCAACACATTTGTAGGGCTATTCAGAGTCCCTGGAAAGTCACTTGACTACTTCCCCAAACCCCTGCCACAGACTTATGTCTGAAATCTCCAAGTAAAACCCAAGTTCCCTCTCTAATTAATACATTGAATCTGCCCCCTCACACCCTTCGGACGTCGTTTAACTTGTCAGATATTGTCCCCTTAACGAAAACAGAGGATCTGAGATAGCAAGCATCGGAGAACGTGAGATGTTACTGATGTTTGAAATTTGGATGAGTTGGAAGAAATGGTTATAAAATAAATAGTGGAATCCCGTGGCTTCTACTCCTGCCCAAATTTATGTGAACTTAGTGCAGTTTGTTTGCCAAATGTACAAGCTTCATTCATAGACTATCTTAAGAATACAGTTGTTCTTTGAATTCATAATTGTTATGTCATGGCCTTTAGAAAATACTGTCACTATATTGATTTTAGTAGTATTATTTAAGGCAAAGTTGCTATTGTAGTCTCTTTGAATCTTTGACCATTGTTTCCAGGTCTACAATCTGTCTAAAGTAGAATGCAAAATTTTGGGCAGATGTCAATATGTTTATTTATCTGTGGAGACAGTATATATCATTCATTGTATAATCAAAGGGGTTCATGACTTCTCTAAAAGAGTAAATAATTACCCCAGAGAATATTTACTATCAAACGTGTTATCTCCAAATATAGAAAGATGAGAAAACTTGAGGTTTGGGTTACAAACTAAGAGCTAACAGATGGGTGTCTGGGATTTTAACTTTATTCCCTTGCTCTGCTAGCAACAAGATTCTTTGTGAGCAAACAGGCCACTTTGGCTGCACCATTGTGTCTCATAATTTTCCTTTAGTGACCATCTCTGTCCTGCCTATGGTAAAAGATCCCCAGTAGCCGCTCATTGCCATGGTGACTTGGCACTTGTGATCAGGCCATGCAAAATGATACTACAGTCGGTCTTTTCAAGCTCTTATTCTCTTACCAAAGCTAATGGCCCCAAGGAAGGACCACTGAGGTGGCAAATAAAAATCGCTTTTCAATCAGAAACTGGAAAAGGTGAAAGAATTCAAATAAACTGAAAGTAAGTTGTTCAGAAAGAACCACTGGAGTCATTATCAGCTTCATTCTTCTTAGCATTTGTTGCATTAATTCTAGCATATGACATTCCCAAGGTGGTTTCAAAAACACCAGTGATCCAGGCAATTTTTATTTTCTGATGACTCAGATCTTAAAGGAACTGAGAATTGAAATAATACTAAAAGTTGGAATTTGTGTGAGGAATTTTCTTATTGGAGAAAAGCCAGTTAAGGGGTTCGAGAAGAATGCGTGATTCCAGCCCTTTTCAAAAAGGAAAGAAAACACTTTTTCTGGAAGTGGCAGAATTATTTTATTTTGCTTCCACATGTCATGGAGAACAAAGAACAAATAAATGAAATCAAAGGTTAAGGAAACTCCATTAATAAAAGTGTCAGTGCCACATAGACGGCATCCTCTATCTCTAAGCTTCTGCAAAGGCATACCATGGACAGTCTCGAACAAGGGCCCGTGTAAAGTAACTACAAAATATATCACAGGCAATAAAACCTCAAGTCAGAATAAGCATCAGGCTATAGAGTTTTCTGCACACATGTGCTCACAGATGTTGGTGAGCTCTGGAGCCTCATCCCATACTGGGAATATCAGCATTAGAGCTGCTGAAAGTCTCACGTGGCCACATGCATTAAGAGTCTCATTTTTGCTGTAAAGCCCTTTATTTCTTGTTGTCTTAAGGACAAGATATCTTGAGCCTGGAGAAGGAAAGAAGATGAAAAGAAGAAGACTAATAAAACACGCTGTTTCATTGATTTATTCTCAACTGCTTTATCAATGTTAAAATGAAGTACAATCCACATGTAAAATTGCATCATTATTTTTAAAGTTCATTTTTTTTGAGATAGGGTCTCATTCTGTTGCCCAAGCTGGAGTGCAGTGGTGCAGTCATGGCTCACTGTAGACTTGACCTCTTAGGCTCAAGTGATCCTCCCACCTAAGTCTCCTGGGTAGCTGGGACTGCAGGTGTGCCCCACTATACCTGGTATTTTTTGTTTGTTTGTTTGAGATGGAGTCTTGCTATGTTGCCCAGGCTGGTCTTGAACTCTTAGCCTCAAACAATCCTTCTGCCTCAGCCTTCCAAAATGCTGGGTTTACAGGTGTGAGTCACCACACCCATCTAAAGTTCATTTTGAATGTTAGTGTAATGACTCAACATTCATGGGCACTTACAAAAACACCTGTTAGGAATTGAACGGATTTCTTTCTCAGCAAAAGTTTGGAGGCTATATTTTGTCTTTTACTAAATTTTTTTTCAATTCTCTTGAATGTAACCACTCAGAGTCAGCGTATAAATCACCCAGTGGTAGGAAGAGAAAAGAAAAAAGTTCTGTAGCAACAAAAGAATGTGTTAAATTCAATTATTCAAATATTAATAGTTTCTGACCTGAGAGAAAAAGACAATTAATATATGCAATATGTATTAATAGCTGTGCTTGCTGTGCACGATAACGCTCTGCTTTGCTGGAAATGCTCTATATCTGCATCAGACACTAGGTTTTTATAGCAATTTAACACTTGAAATTGCCTAGTGCTACACAGGAAGTGAATTTTTTGTTATTCTAATTTATTTAAACTTAACTAGTTCATATAACTAGTGGTCATTGTACTAGCACAGCTCTGGAGGAAGTGTCAAGAAGGATGACAAGCCACACCTGAAAAAATATTATTCCATAAAATGGGAAAGAAAAAACTTGGCCAAGGATAGAAATTTCTGGACTGTGTAAGTCCATCAAGAAATACCACCCAACACCCTTGCTTGAAATTTCAGAGAAGCATTCTGGAACTGACTCCAAGAAACTCAGTAAGAATGGTCATGAATAGTATACCCATTTAAGATCAGAAATAGCAGGATTGACTATTTCCATTTCTTGAAGAAGAATCACCCTATTTCAAAACGTTATGTATGGCACCTGTGAAAAAACTATACAGTTAATGTATGTTTACCAATAAAACTGGATTAAGAAAACAGTAAAATAGGTCAAAAGAGGAGTTTGTAAATTAGAAAACGTCCCATATGTGTATCACGTTCTTCTTGTAAAGCCAGCTAAAACTAGAAACAAGTAAAACAAAGTAGCACCTGCTTTAATTTGGCAAAAATGTCTTCCACTGCTACACAAACCGATGAATGATTGGAATCCTTGTGGAGACTGCAACGTCTTCTCTTTCCCCTTCATCGTTTTATAAATCTATTTGAGTTTAAAGGATCCCTTAATAAAAAGAGACATCAAATAAAATACAGAAAGCCTGGGCTCTGTCATTAAATTTTAAACACAACTCTCTTTCTCTTTCTCTCTCTCTCTCCTTTTATTTTTGTTTTTGTTTTCAGTTTTATATTTTGCTCCAAAGACCACAAACTAGTAAACTACTGAATAATTCATTGGAAAACAGAGTGATGAATAGGGGATAGGCATTTGAAATGCAGTGGACAAAGTGAAGTAATCATCAAAACCAGCCAGCAGTCACTCCACTTTAAACTAGGCTGTTGAAAAAAATAAACCCTGTATTATGCTGCTGTAGACACCCAGCATATTAGTAGGTCTCATCTCCCCAAATGTTATCATATGCCCAGCCTGAGAGTTATATTATCACATATTATTTTTCTTAGAATATGCACTACATAATATAAAGATTTTTTAAGTGTAAATGTCTTAAGTACAAAATCAAATGCTCAAAGTTAGGCTGTTACTGTGGCCACAAAATCAGCTTCTCTTATTCTGATATCACAGCATAAACATGATTACAAGGTGTTTTGGAGAATTTTGTAAAAACACACACATCATTTTGCAGATTCCCATTATATTATGGATCAAAGCATGTATATACCTCAGTGCAAATCTCATAAGTCTGTAGGTAGTTAATCCTGTCTTGCCATCCAATAATATAAAATTGTAGGAATGTGTAATATGGGAACTCCTACCAAGACTAAAAACTTAGCTAATTACTCTGTGAGAATGTGGGTAAAATCACACTTCTACATTTTCAAGGGTTTCAGTCTAAGAAAGCCTGACAAACCAGGTGCTGTCTGAAACTTAATTATCAAATATATAATTGATCCATGGGATCATGTGTACCTGGTCACTCTGGTTTTGTGCAATCACAGCCACACACAGGTTGCTGTGGATGTCAGGGTACTTTGTTCTTTATTATTTATTTGTTTCTTGCCCAGGAAATGTGTTTGCAGATATAAGCTAAGCAACAATGAAAACAGAGAAACCCTATTAAGTTAGAGAAGGAGGAGAAAATAAACAAAAAATTAGGTATTAGATAAGCAATTAGCTTTTTGTAGGCAGAAATAAACTGGAACCCCCATTTTTATCTTATTATTTTAAATTATATAGTAATAAAACTGATCGATCCTGTAACTAGATCTTTTAAGAAGCAATGTGCAACATTTAAAAAATAGTCTTTAAAATATATAAGCAGAAGTGACAGTCAAATTGATAAAACCACTCTAAGAGAATGAGTAAATTATAGAAAATATTCAATTACTTTTTTGCAATATAGCAATACTGTTTCTAATGTGTTTTCCGATTGAATTAATTACATTTTTTTCTGTTCTTCTCATGTTCCCTTTCATCATTATTGCCATGCATTTAACTCATTGTGATGTGTTACCACTGATATTTATTTTTTAACGCTTTTATTTACGTATTTATTTGTTTGTTTCATTTGGTGGGTTTTTAAACCCAGATCCCACTGACCCAGTTGATTATTATCCTTTGCTTGATGATTTCCCCACCTCGGTCCCAGATCTCTCCACCCCCATGCTCCCACCAGTAGGTGTACAGGCTGTGGCTCTTACCCATGATGCTGTGAGGGTCAGCTGGGCAGACAACTCTGTCCCTAAGAACCAAAAGACGTCTGAGGTGCGACTTTACACCGTCCGGTGGAGAACCAGCTTTTCTGCAAGTGCAAAATACAAGGTGAAGTTCTAATTGATAGCATGAAATTTAAAATGAACTGACATTTGTTTAACACATTGTTTTAAACCTCTCCTGGACTGTCATGAGTCGTTTTGCTGCTGTGTATCTATGTAGAAAAACAAAGCATTTTAATAACTCAATATCTAAGATTAACATGAGAATAATTGTATTTTAGGAAACAATTCTAAGGCAAGGTAGGAAAACATCAAGTGCTGTAAAACGTTATTTGCTTTTCACCAGATGCTGAGTTTGTATAAATGATTTGATTCTGTGCAAGAGAATGCCATTGTCCCTTTAAAATAGCAGAGATCTATGTTAATTTTCTGGATTTTGGTATCT
Organism: Homo sapiens; assembly: GCF_000001405.40. NCBI lineage: Eukaryota > Metazoa > Chordata > Mammalia > Primates > Hominidae > Homo > Homo sapiens. Next base: position 53,392,227 of record NC_000018.10, read on the forward strand.
TTTTTTTTTTTCCATTTGGAATCTAGATTGATTTACAAAGCGACCCTATTAATGTCACAGAGACTCATCTTTCAGTGAATATAACTGGGAATAGATAAGTTGAAGATATTTTTTTGTAACCTCAGCACTCTAAGCCATTAACATCTACTTCATTTAGCCTTGAAAACACACTATTATGGTAAAGAAAACTCACAATCCACACTCCCATTTAGCTAATATGAATTCACCAGCTCTCTGTTCTTGTCCTTATCACAGAGTTATCTGACAACCTCTTTAAGAGCTCCTCAGAGATACATATTTGAGACAGTCATTACCAGTTTCAAATCTCTATCAACCAGCCTCAGGGATCATAACAACAAGTTATATACTAAGATAATTTTGTTACCTCCTAAAACTGCTATGATGTTAGTATATATAGACAATATACAAATGTAGACAAAAATGAGAAGATCAACAAGTAGTTGTCAAGAACCTACTATGTACCTAGAAATGTACTACACCATAGAGATGGTTTATTTTGAAAGAAAACATGGTGTAGTCATTGTTACTTACTACATATAATTTTAGGATGAATTATACACTCAGCTCTATGGATAAACTTAAAAGAATTCATAAGTTATTTGAGAGATATAATGTATAAAAACACATTTAGAACTTAAAACTTCACAAGATACTGATTGGGAGTGAAGAAGTCAGTTTTGAAAATAAGAGCATAAATGCCACCCAACAACTAAGAAATCAAATAGTTCAACCCTGGCTGTCTTCTTCCTACTCCTTTTGTGTTCTCTTAACCGCTTGATTGGGGTAGCTCTTGAGGAGATTTTAGGTCTCCTTATACTTTAGCCAATGTTCTTTTCACTGAACTACCATCCTCCTGAATCCAGCCTCAAGCTAGTAGTGATTTTGGGGGGATGAAAATATTTCGAGGATGTTTTTTAACCCCAATCCTGGAGCTATAGCTAAATCCCACCACCAATCCTGTAAGCTTGCTTCTCTCTCCCCATAGCCATGCTGGATCTTCCTGTGGTGTCTTTCAACTTTTAAATGGCATAAAATTCACATTTCATCATAAATCAGATTTTAGTTGAAACCATTTAAAGACAGTTTTCTTTGGTACTGCTGCCCTGTTAGGTGAGGTATTTGGAAGAACTCTCCAGGCAAGTCTAAATAGTATCATTGTTATAAGGTATGTGGTAAGTACCCTATCCATCTCCTTACAGTAGTAGATTTAAGATTCAGCAGAACTATAAATAAAGATAACATTATCAGAAAAGACAACCAATGAAACATATGAGACCATTAAAGAATGTCTCTTTTTATATAGATTACCCAATTCTCTAAGTTTACTTTTAGAAGGCTACTTTCTCCACTTTAAAAATTTTATGTCATAATTGCTGTACTTTGTAGATACATTCATTTCACAGAATGGCCATGGCGACTTTGCCAGAATGTGAAATGTTCTAAGGAAAAATGATTGTTTTCTTCAGAATGGTTTGAGTTCCAAAATTTCCTGAAGCAAATTATTTCAGTTGAATAGTTACTACAGCAGACATGGAATTACTGAATCTCACAAAGAGTGCCTGTGAGGTGAGACTCAGCCCAAAAAGATTTTAACTGTTCCTCTTCCCTTCATCCTCCCTGACAGAAGGCTTTCAATTACTAATGTACTATTCCCTCTCTCTCTCTCCCTCTCTCCCTCCCTCCCTCCCCCTATATATCCATACCCTGATATGAGGAGGGTTAGAGAAAACTAGAAAGATATAAAACAAATTTAAATTTTACAAATAATGGTGATAGACTCTTTGAGTTTTCACTTTGTACTTTTCAAGCCAATGTCATATCTTTACTTCATCTCACTTCCACTACAGCTTTAAAAGGTAGGCAGGACATACACACAATAGGAAACAAACAAAATGTACATGGAGCCACATGACCTGGGCTCATGGGTTGGCTTTGCAACCTCCTGTCATGAAACTTAACCTGCTCAGTCTCATTTTTCTCATCTATATGATGGAAATATCCATACTTACTGTAAAAACAATGAGATTCTTTGTAGTTAAGTAGGAAGACAGAGGTAGGTGATATAACTTGACAGAAATTCCTCATTAAACTAGAGCAGGATCTCAGGTGACCCAATGGCATCATCCAGGGATTTCCCCACAAGAGTGTCCTTCTAGTTCCATTTACTCCCAAATCTATAATACAGATGCTCATGTTTTGATTGTCTAAAACCCTGTATTAACTTTCCTGATCAAATGGAGACATTTTCTATATGTTTTTCTATTAAAGTATTTAATCATATGATGTTTTATATGAATTTCTATTCAAAATATATCCATCGAGTGTTGACTAGTGCTTACTAGATATAATATGGATGTTACAGAGGATATGAAGTTGTGCAGGACTCAGTCTCAGCTCTCAAACTGCATGCAACTCAATGGGAGGAGCATATAACACATGCTTAAAATTACATACAACAAGAGACAATGCATGAAATAATGTAGTTAAGATTTATTTAATACTTTCTCTGGGCCAAACGCTATGCTTTACTTGTCTTAGTTTGCACTTTAAATAATGCTATGAAGTCAGTGCTATGGTCGTCTCCATTTTACACACAAGAAAACTAAGGCTCAGGCTGGGCTCAGTGGTTCACATCTGTAATCCCAGCACTCTGGGAGGCCGAGGCGGGTGGATCGCCTGAGGTCAGGAGTTCGAGACCAGCCTGGCCAACATGGTGAAACTTTGTCTCCACTAAAAAAATACAAAAATTAGCTGGGCGTGGTGGGGGGGCGGGGCGCCTGTAATCCCAGCTACTTGGGAGGCTGAGGCATGCGAATCACTTGAACCCGAGAGGCTGAGGTTGCAGCGAGCCAAGATCGTGCCATTGCACTCCAGCCTGAGTGACAAGCACGAAACTCCATCTCAAAAAAAAAAAAAAAAAGTAAGGCTCAGACAGGTACCATCTGGTTATTCTGTGCTCACAAAGATAACTGGCCATGTTGCTCCAAAGTATTTCTAGGCTTTTTTAAGATAAGCTGTAGCTTTCTATGAGGTTTTAGAGGAAACTCAGTAATTCATGGTATTTATAGAATGCAAAGGTGTCAGTCTAGAACACAAAGACGATCTTACTTGTTGGCCTCTCAAATGCCAGTGGTGTCTGTGCTCAGAAACTGTTTTTATTGAGATATGATCTTTCCCTCTTACCTAAAATACTTCTTATTGCCTCATTTCTCCCTTTTATTTCCATTTCTAAGACTTAGAGTTGTTCATGATCACGAAGGAAAGCAAAAATGGAAGTAATATATCTGCATGTCAGATACTAGCTGACCACTTTGTGTTTTATTTGATGGAATTTCATCTTCCTGATTATACCAAAAATATTTACATTTATTTAGGGCATATATTTTTACAGGTTTTTCTTATTTTTTATTTTTAAGATGGAGTCTCGCTCTGTGGTCCAGGCTGGAGTGCAATGGCCTGATCTTGGCTCACTGCAACCTTCATCTCCCAGGTTCAAGCAATTCTCCTGTCTCAGCCTCCCAAGGAGCTTGGACTACAGGTGCATGCTACCATGCCCAGTTAATTTTTGTATTTTTAATAGAGATGGGGTTTCACCATATTGGTCAGGCTAGTCTTGAACTCCTGACCTCGAGTGATCCATCCGCCTCGGCCTCCCAAAGTGCTGGGATTACAGGCGTGAGCCACAGCGCCAACCTACAATTATTTTTAAGAAGACTTCTGATAAATATTTGAGGTCATCACTTTAATAGGCTGGATAGGCAAATCACCGAAATGTTATTAGTACAGTTACATATTTATTTGGTGGTGTAATGAAATATACAATTTTCATAACTATAACCTAAGAAGGATTCGTAGTAGAATTAAAAAAAAAAAGATATCCCTTCCTTCAGTAGTAAGGGTAAGATACGTATGATATGAGTGGGGGAAAAGAGCTTTTCTTAATTATTTTAGACATAAATAGATAATAAATGTAATGTTTTAAAATAAAAGTATTTAACTTCGAAGAACGATACCTCATACCAAGTACAAAATCATATTTATAAGAGGAATAGTCCCATTTTTTTTGCTTATATGGAAAATATACTTTAATGGATTAAACCTTGCATCATGTTTTTTCTTTATTACCCGTTTTGGTATTTTGAGTAAGCAATAAAGAACTATAATTTACTTTCTACTAAAATATCTCTAACTTGTCATTTAAAAGACAAAGAATGAATTCAGAAGACTTCAATAATACCAACACCACTTTAAACACCAATGTAATCCTTTAGTATTTATCCAAATTGCTGTTCCTTCCTTGATCAATTGCTCCAGTTACCATCGTTAAATGTTTGTTTAATGTGAAGTCTACACAAAGAATGAAAACCATGTGACTCAGCATTGCTTTTGTCTCATGTTCTCTATAAGATGTAAATGGATTCTGGAAGCACTAAAAGTTTAAACCTTAAAGGCTTTTTGAGATACATGATGAGCAGTAGAACTCTAATCAATTAACTTCGTTACAAGTGGAAAATAATAACAATGGTCTATTTAAAATATACAACATTAAAACTTATGCCAAAAAAACCACAGATTTTGATTATAAATGAATTAAGTTCAATGCAGAAAATTTCAAAAATTGAGTTGACAGAAGGAAGTGGAATTTGTCCTGTTGTTCTGGTTCTGTAATAAAGGTAAGTATTTAACTTTGAAAAAAGATATGTAAATACCAAGCACAAAGTGATATTTATAAGAGGCATAGTCTCATATGCCTGATCATATGGAAAATATGCTTTAACCTATTAGACCTTTCAACATATCTTACCTCGGAAAATTTTCTATCTAGTAGCCCCTTTGGACAACCATAATACCTAATTTTATTGGTTATATTGTAAATGTATAATCAGCCAGCGTGAACTGGTTAATAGATGGGAATTCGAGTCAGTGCTATGCTCTACTCCTCTGCTGTTTGGGAGTAGATTACTTTTGTGTTAGCTTATTTAATAGTCTTTTTATATGTCTTGATTTACCAAGTTGATAGAGTTTATTTTTTATCTCTTTGCTATTTCCTACTTGTATAGTCAGAAGACACAACATCTCTAAGTTACACAGCAACAGGCCTCAAACCAAACACAATGTATGAATTCTCGGTCATGGTAACAAAAAACAGAAGGTCCAGTACTTGGAGCATGACTGCACATGCCACCACGTATGAAGCAGGTATGTGAGGAAATGTCTACTTTGGACCCTTGATAATGGTGTTTCCCAGGTTCTGTGGAAATTAGAACATGTGTTCCCTATGGTGTCTCAATTATACCTTATCCTATATAAAATAGTTCATCCTCTATAGTTCATAGCACTTTTATATCTAAGAGTATTCTCCTCACACTAGAAAAAACATGAATCTCCAATGGCTTAAGTAATCTGCTTTCATGATTAATACACGGTTTCTTCAGGGTGTTAACTCAGGGGATCTGACTATAAATCTTCTTTTCACTACATTTAAGTAAAGAACAGAAATCCATCCAATGAACTTGGTCCAAAACAGTTGTGTCTTTGAACAATTGTCATGGTAGGTATTTCTCATTTTGAAAAAAAGAAAAATAGATGCAAAAGAAAGCATTGCATTACAACCGAAGTCTCATGGATATTTACTGTGAATAACCTTGGCTGGATATGGGAAGGAGTTTCCAGGTGGTTTTGTTCACTCCTGGGAAATGGGGTAACATAATAGAAGACCTTTATGCAATTTTAAATAGTTCAAATCTAGGGTAATGCAATTCACTGTAATTTTTACTGGTCACATTTACTATGGATCGTAAATGTAGAGTTTATAACTTTAACAAGGATGCAGTGTACTTGACATTTATAGTTCACAGAAATCCAACTTCTGAAGAATCCAGGGCTTAACATGTTTTTTTGATGGGTTTCATAATATATCATATTTGTGGGTAAACTGCACCAATTTTCAAATTTTAAAAAAATGCTAATAAAGCTGTTTCCTGGGTAAGTTGAATTTATCTTTCCATTAGAATTTGTCCCATGGGATTGCAGTTCTAATTTTTAACTCCAACTATTATTTTAACTATTAGAGTTCTAGTGAGAATATTTTTACATATCTGTGGATACTTCTTTCAACAAGAAGATTTCTAGTTGACCTAATTTAATTTTAACATCCTATTTTTCTATTTTACCTGTTATTATCTCTTCTTCTCAGAATTCCACCCTGAATGCACAATGTTCACAGCTTCTTAGGGTTAATAAGACCAGCCGGATGAGATACATACTATTGGATAGAGTAAACAAGTAAACAGTCTACTCTTCCTTTTTACTTGAAAGGAGATGAATGTAGATAAATGTGAAATAGTAAGAAATTTGGCCTTCCCTGTGTGAAAGAGAAGTAGTAGTATTTTCATCTTAATACAAGCAAATTCATTCATTTTTTTCCTCTCATAAACATAAAATGCACACCAACATCTGACTTGATATATGCACCCTATTGATTTCTCATCAACCGCCTAGCCTTGTAGGGACACCAGTGGTGAGACCCATTGCTAACAAAAAGATACTAACTTTTAGAAATGTGGTTAGTAGAAAAGGTAATAATCTGGACAAAGGTGTAAATAGCACATGGATAGGATCCCTGAGTGATGATGAGAAGTAAGAAGTAATTCACAAGTGTCTGCAGGTTTATAACTGTGAGAAGGAAATTCAGTGAATAAAATAACTCTAAAGTTTGCTTCTAGTTCTGCAGTAAGATAAAGACCATATGGGGCTACACCATTATGTGTTGAAATGGCTTGTGATAAAGATACGAGTGACTGGAAATTTTTTGAAATCAAGCATTTCATTCTGTCCAGATAATGAATCCTTCATTTGGTTTTGGTTAACTGAAGTAAAATAAACGTGACAGGAAGGACACTTTAAATAATTAGGCCTTGGAAAGAGACAGGCATCAGCCTTATTATTCCTAGGCTGTAGAAGTGAGGAACTGTTGGTTTATCCCTTCAAGGTGCTACCATAGTAATTATTTGACTCCACCTTTTTTATTTCCTTGTATGTAGATTCAGTGTCACAAAAGAGAGAATATTATTGGCATCTTTTGAGACAGGTGATCACACAGCTAAGGAGAAGATGGGATAAGACCATGGAATTCCCAACTGATATTGCTACCAAGCTTTCATGATATAGAGGAGAGCTTGTTTTCCAAAGAGAAAAAACAAGTCCTCCTTTAAAAGGAAGAGGAGAGGATGGGATGCTGGACAGTGCAAGTAACAAATGCCCAATACAATTCCTATGGCTGAAATCTTCTGAAACTTAAATGTTACCTTCCATTCATGTACTTAATAAAGAAATGGAAGTATAGGAAAAAATGAGAGCCAAAGAAATCAGAGGGGGCCGGGCGCGGTGGCTCACGCCTGTAATCCCAGCACTTTGGGAGGCCGAGGCGGGCGGATCACGAGGTCAGGAGATCGAGGCCATCCCGGCTAAAACGGTGAAACCCCGTCTCTACTAAAAATACAAAAAAATTAGCCGGGCGTAGTGGCGGGCGCCTGTAGTCCCAGCTACTTGGGAGGCTGAGGCAGGAGAATGGCGTGAACCCGGGAGGCGGAGCTTGCAGTGAGCCGAGATCCCGCCACTGCACTCCAGCCTGGGCGACAGAGCGAGACTCCGTCTCAAAAAAAAAAAAAAAAAAAAAAAAAAAAAGAAATCAGAGGGCAGTGCTTGTCTAGTGGACCAAGATATTAATTAAGGGTTTTTAATAATGTTAATTTATAATTGTCATGCCTTGAGATACGAACTTGGTAAGGAGAATATAGTCTATGTCTTTGAGCGAATTGTGGTCCAATAAAAAAGAAAAAGCATTTTTTTAAATTCCTGAAGTAATATCAGAAATATAATCATAAAATTGTGGACAAGTTAAAATCAGAGCAAACAAAGTACAGATTCTGTCTGGAAAAATAAGAGGAAGTTTCACAAAATAAATGAGGTTTGAGCTATGGCTTAGTTGAATTATCACATACTAATTCCAGGGACTTCCAAAGAATGGAAAACTCATGTGCAAAAATACCCAAGCAGGTGTCAGAAAGATGATGTGTTAAAGAGATACTTATGATTGGCTCAAAGTGAGTTGAGCACAGTGTTCATGGGACAACAAGGGGAATGAAGTACATAAAATAAAACAGAATATAAATCCTAGAGGTCCTGGTGTTTATTTTTATTTATTTATATTTAATCCAAAGAGAATGGGTAGACAATGAAGAATTTCTAGAAATCATTCCAGGCAGAACTCAAGAACTCAGGAGAAGAGCAAGGCAGAGGAATTCTGCTCGACTTAGTAGGGATTATTGAAATTGTGAGGGCCATATTATTTTTCAAATATTAAGGAACAGTGTGCAGTTCACATAATAATGCTAGACATTTAGGTCATTAATTCCAATACCAAATTTTTATTCACCAATATTCACATGACTTGAGGAAAAATAAGAGCTTGCACAGCACCTGAATTAGATTGGTTGTTAGATTTTTTTAAATTAAATAACTAATTCTTCATTGTATTATATTGATAGCTAAAGTTGAAGAATCACTTTATCCTTTTTGAATGCGTAACAGATTCAGTGAAGCAATCTAATCATCCTCATTTGACTATTTTCTAAACAAACATCAATTTGAATTTTAACATAGTTAAGACAAAACAGGCTATTTTCACTAGTAAAAAAGACAAAGATTTTAATTACTTCCAGAAGTGGAAAATTCCTTATTACGTTTGATGTATACTAATCTAAGTTATTTTGTGACTATATCTTAGCTTCCTATTCATAGCCGGGAAAATATCCTGAATGACCTCTCTGTGAGAATAATCCTTCTTTAAGACAGCATTGTCTTTTTAGTATTTTGCCATAATGAATCTGCATTTCTTGCAAGAATGTCCGGATATGGTTTCATTAAGCCATATATATCATATTATATTAGACTGCATATGTTATTTTATACTGTATTAGTATCTATGCAGTCTTTTTACTAAGGGATCAACTATACTCCACCTATGTTTTCTTCTCCTTCATTCCCCCCTCCTCTTCTAATTCTCTTTCTCCATCCATCCCTTCTTCTTTTTTGAAAATGTGAATATATTAAGTACATTGTCAATGATTAAAATTAAGTGCACGTTTGGTTAACCTGGAATCCCAGTGACTTTGAAGATCACGGTGTTGGAAAGAAAATAGTATGATAGATGGGAATGATTGATGTCTCCTCTATTTGGCTCATATTTGGAACACTATTCAGGAAGAGATACTAGAAATACAGTGTTAATAATGTCCAGATTCTGCAATATATGACCAACAGAAGTACGAAAGAGAATAGGGTGAAGATGAGTTCAGAATTAGAGACTGATTTCTAACTATCTTTTCCTACACAGAATTTTTATGTGGAGACCAGGAAATTACTCCAGATCCCAAACACGGAACCCAATACGTTCTGAATCTGCCTTTGTTAGACTAAGGGTAGCAAAGTTGCCGTGGATAACAGACTTGTGGCATTGTGAGCTACCCAGAAGGAAAACTTGTCTTCCAAAACGTAGAAAGTGAGAGAGCAGATTGGAAGAAGCCTGGAAGATCCTTGGCTAGCTTAACCAGTTTGCTGCCACCTTTAAATATTTAAAATTGTTTTGAGTACAACATGTGGGAGAAGTAGTCTTAGGAGCAGGACTTCGTGCCATCTTACTTCATGCTGGATTGATACTAAGACACTCATAGTTATTTTTTACGTCTTCTATTTTAATTTCTCATGTGTGCCTTCCTGTTGGTTTAGAAGATGCCTAATATGTCACCTAGCTAAGATATTTTGACCCCAGTTTTATCTCATTTTAAAAACTTTTTGGCTTTTAAGGAAGTATAGACTTAGGTGACATTTTTATTTATAAATGCCTGCAGTTGTAACAGAATTCTTCTGAAGACATGTAATCATCCAGCGTGGCAACATAGACCCATCTCTACAAAAATCAAAATTAAAATTAAAAATTAGAGTAGTGGTGTGCAACAGTGGATCCGGCTACTCAGGAGGCTGAGATGGGAGGATCACTTGAGCCCAGGAGGTTGAGTCTGAAGTGAGCTATGATTGCACCACTGCACTCCAGCCTAGGTAACAGAGCAAGACCCTGTCTCAAAAAAAAAAAAAAATAAATAAATAAATAATAAACTAGAAAAAGATATGTAATCATCAATCTCACTAAGTATACATTTCTTCATTCTTATAATGATTCTTTTATTTTTAGTGTGAGCCCACTTGAAATACCAGTTGTACTTTTCTCCTTTATATTCACACATACTCTCTTCTGTTCTCTATAGTCACACCTTGGGAATCATTTGATTTCCATAAAAATTATTAATTTTTGTATCCTTGTTTGCTTATTCAAATCCTTGAAATAAACTGTAAATGGCAAAATAGACATGATATACTTCTTGATAGATTCTGAATGTCAACATCATGATGAAATTTCCAACAATGTTTATTTTCTTTCACATCCAATGACAAGGCCTTATCTCTGTCTCACCTCACAGCCCCCACCTCTGCTCCCAAGGACTTGACAGTCATTACTAGGGAAGGGAAGCCTCGTGCCGTCATTGTGAGTTGGCAGCCTCCCTTGGAAGCCAATGGGAAAATTACTGGTAAGCATCTCCACTTTCTCTCCCAGCATAGCTCTCCCTTGTCCTATAATTGCTTACCCCCTACATGAGCTGCTCCTGCCTTTCGTGTGGCATTATTCTGTCCCTACATCTCAGCTGACTCCATGACCCTTTTTGATTGTTTCTTCTTTCCCCTTTTGACCATGGAATTCTTCTAATGGTGCACACACACACACACACACACACACACACACACACACACACACACGTCATTTGATTTGCTTCACGAAAGATGTGTATTTCAATTAGAATAGACCTTTTTGTTTTTCATTCTCTGAAGCATTAAGACCACTTTCTAATGGAGTGCCCTGAGTATAAATGTCTATAAAGAAGCTGGTTGTTTGGCAATTATGAAACACAAAAGATGCTTAATGACTGTGTTTGTGTGTGTTTGTGTGTATGGCACATACGGAGGTTTGGGGATTTTTAGTTTCTCACTTAGGTTTTAGCTTCTTACTTAAATCATAAAGTTCACAAAACACTTAATATTGACTGACAGAAATTGAACATAATGAATATTTCACAGTGACAGATTTTATTTTGCCAAATATTGCTGATAACATCAATGCCTAATTAAAGCATCCATTAGAAGCCTGTAATGTTAATTTAGTATGAAAAATATAATGGAGTTCTATCAGAGATTTTGCATTTAAATGATCACTTTAGGCTTTTAATAGATGTCTCCATAGCATATAATTATTATGAAAAATATTGTATAACTCAAAATGTGAACATTATAGTCTAATTAACTTGAACCATTGGGTTAGGAACATGGAAGAGTCACTCCTTTTTTCCTTCTTTTTTTGCATACAAGAGCTGGATAGCACTATTATAAATTAACAAAGTAATTCAGCCGTCCCGTGATACAGAGAGATAAGCATGGAAATTATACTTTCAGAAGGCACACTTACTTTATGTAATTTACTTTCTGAATTTTGCAAAATGAAAAGATAACGTGAAAATTCCAAATAGGATTGAAATTTAAGTTGAAAATTTGTTTTCTCTAGGAAATTGCTCTTAGCACAATAGCAAACAGAATTTTTATTCGAGCTGACAAATATGGAAAAAGAAGTGAGGCACAAAATTTCCCCAAGATCTTATATGTTCACTTGTCAGTGTGCCAGGCCTTTTAAAACTGAGACTGGCTCATTCCAATTTTCTTTTTTTCCCCCTCATTGTTATAATCTCTTTTCATTGGTTCTATGTCAGTAGTTGTGTAGCTTTTGATTTGTTTATATTTTATTTTGTTATAATCAATTATTTATAAGCTTATGGGAAATCAACAGTAATAAGTCTGAGGAGAAAAAAACAGAAAGCTGTCTAAATAAAAACAGGTTCTGATAGAAAAAGATGTTTTTGGCAAAGGAAAAATAAGTCATATTCTCCACTCATTTGAATTCTCCACTCTTATTTAAGTAAATCTTATCAGTCAGTGTAAACAATAGAATAAGTTTTTAACTCTGGAAGAAAGCTTAATTTTGCTTCTTCAGGAAAAAAAAAAAAATAGAAGTCTAGCCCATATTAAGAAATGCAAATTTGACTGGGCGCGGTGGCTCACACCTGTAATCCCAGAACTTTGGGAGGCCGAGGCAGGCAGATTACGAGGTCAGGAGATCGAGACCATCCTGGCTAACACGGTGAAACCCTGTCTCTACTAAAAATACGAAAAATTAGCCGGGCGTGGTGGTGGGCACCTGTAGTCCCAGCTACTCTGGAGGCTGAGGCAGGAGAATAGCATGAACCCACGAGGCGGAGCTTGCAGTGAGCCCCGTTCGCGCTACTGCACTCCAGCCTGGGCGACAGAGTAAGACTCCGTCTCAAAAATAAAAAAATAAAATAAAAAATTAAAAAAAAAAGAAATGCAAATTAATCTAAGCAATAAAATTGTATATGCCAAAATCACAGTGCATATAAAAGAAACTTTGTCCACACTCTTTACTTAGATTTATACGTTCAATGGATCTTACTATTAAAAATCCATTCTCTCACAGTGGAAAAATAAAAGTATGGGAGACAATGCTTTTGCCTTTAAAAGCCTGGCTTATTTATGAAAACAAAATTGTATTATCAAGTTGAGATATTCCTACTCAATTTAACAGGGAGCAAACAATAAGAACCCTTAAGAGAATTTCTGTGTCATGTGTATTTTGATTTATTTATTCAAATTACTTCCAGAAAATAGAATGATAAAATATTCAAAATACTACACCACTAAGCAGAGGGCACAAATTTGCTATTCTCAGCTTCCTGTGGAAGTGCAACAATTAATAATAAAAAGTAAAAAAAAAAAAAAAGAAATGAGCTCTTTCTCAGTGCGACCAGGTAGATGTGTGCCAAGGAGGGATGTGCTCTCATGTAACCTCTGTATTGTTTTGTTTTCCTAAATCTTTCATGTGTATGGCAGGCAGTAGAGCAGGATAGTTAAGAACTCAGGCTTCTAAGGGAGACACATGAGGAAGTCATTTAACATCCTTGAGTCCCACTTTCTCGGTTTCTCACCTATAAAATAAAGATAGTAATAGAACCGCACTAGAATAATTGTTGTAATACAGTGCTGAGAAAAGCCCCTGATACCCAGTGGGCACTGACACGAATCGGCTATTATTATTCCAGTTTGAAATCCATTCTAGGGTGAGGCTTTACTAATGTGCTTTATACAGAATCCAGATCATCAGTTTTTAAATATAAGTACTCAAAAAGATTAAACAAAAAAGGAGGAAATTCAGATAATCACAGTGCCTAAATTCTCTGATCATAAACTGGAAACTTAGGAATTTGGACTGACATTTTCAGAAGAAAATGATTCAAAATACATTAAGCATTTATTATATGCTTGGCATTCTTCTGAGATCTTTAGTATGATATAAATGATTACATATTCCTATTATTCCATTTTAAAATGAAAAGCTTAGGCCTTTCCTGAGTAAATAACTTACCCAAAATCAAATAAGCAAGAAGTGGCAGAGCTAGGATTTAAAACTCAGGTTTATACTCTTAATTATTACACTATGTTTTGCTCCAATTTATTAGTATTCTACTGGTCTAAATCAGTGATTTGCAGCTGAGATTTTAATTTAATTCATATGAGAAGGGACTGAGCATGGTAATTTTTAAAAGCTTCCCAAGTGACTTATTGTATAGCCAGAGATATGAAACATAGGCCTAAATAAATGCAGTGCCCAACACTATTTAAGATCTGAGACTAACACAAATAGAAGAGTTAGGTCTTTCAGAGATTGTTTCCTTATTAATACAGTCTAATATGTAAGGTTATATTCTCTTTTTCTGTGTCATTTGATAGCCTAGTTTAATTTGTCTCCCTTTTGTAAAATCATCAAACCACTTTTCTTCCCACCACCAGGATATAGCTTCTCAGTCTGATTTGCAGAAATTTCTTCCACTTGATATTGCTTTCCAGAAGGCAGATCTTTTTATTCCCTTTGTTACTTTCTCTGGAAAAGTGTCTATAGTAGAGTTAGGGATTCTGAGGTTTAAAAAAAAAAGAGAAAGAGGCCAGGCGTAGTAGCTCACGCCTGTAGTCCCAGCACTTTGAGAGACCAAGGTGGGAGGATCACCTGAGGTCATGAGTTCAAAACCAGCCTGGCCAACAAGGTGAAACCCCGACTCTACTAAAATACAGAAATTAGCCAGACATGATAGCAGATGCCTGTAATCCCAGCTACTGGGGAGGCTGAGGCAGGATAATTGCTTGAACCCGGGAGGCGGGTGTTGCAGCGAGCCGAGATCCAGCTATTGCATTCCAGCCCGGGTGACAGAGCAAGACTCTGTCTCAAAAAAAAAAAAAGAAAGAAAGAAAAAAGAAAAAAAGTACAGGTACAGAAATGTAGTGAGAAACCAGTACATTTGTTCAACCTGTGTGGTTATATAGAAATTTATAAGGTAAGCTTCAATAATGAATTTATTATCTCTCAAATATACCAAACATACACATCCCAATGAAGTTGCTTGTTTTCTCTGAGGCCATTTTTTAGACTTTTGAATGATGAGGTCTGTTTCTATTCTCCATCTCAGTTCTTAAATTTTAAGAAAAGGGTAGGCTTCACCACATATATAAGGAATTTGCTCAGATACAATTTGGAATTGTCAGAAACTGATGTCTGCACCTTCAACTTTAGTTTGATCCCAGAGCTGTCATTTTTAAATGCTTAAGTGAATAATTTTACATAGATTAAAAACATAGTGAAGACAAATATTTTATCATCATCTGATAAATGAGGAGACTCGGGAATCAGTGCAGTTGACCTGGGATGGGGGCAAAATTCTCCAATTTTCCAGTTTCATCATGCACTTAAAACAGCCCATGAAAATTTTTAACGATTTCATTAAATATCTAAATGTAAAACTTATGTACTTACAGGCTAAAGGATTTCATTCAATAAGTGACTTTCGATACCTCTTATGTGAATATGATTTTATTAGATTTTTGGGGGGAATAAAAAAGTAATAAGATATGGCTCCTGAACTAAAGAAATGTTTTTATCCTTTTGAAGAGGTAGGACATGCACATAATAGAATATATACATATATATATACAAATTTTATATATATCTTTTATATTTAGCTGCATATATATATCTCCAGTGATTTTTATTCTGGATATATATATATATATATATATATATATTCACTATTACTCTCTCTCTATATATATGTTCAGTAACTTTTACATAGATAAAAACATAGTGAAGGCAAATATTTCATATATATCTATAACATATTTATCTTAGATATATTACATAGTAATATATGGATATTTATAGAAATGTATACTCAGAAATGTGTGTATGTACACACACATATATCTCCAGTAGCAGGGTCTTCTTTTTAATAGATGTGGAGATGTGGATCTTCATGGACAAGATTGGAGACTGCTCTGGTTCAAAGAATATGAGGCAATTTTATTGATGTTTATCATGGGGGCTGAATTACAAAGGGATGGACACACATGAGACAGAAAACAACTCCTTTATCAAACGATATTCATAATCCCTTTTGAATTTTAGAACTCCAAGTTTAATATTTAACAGACAGAAAGGTCATACAACTTTTTAAGGTTTGTGGAATTCTTTATGTTGGTAAGGCTTTTAGTTTCGAAGCTCTCAACATCTCAAGATATTCATATTTTCATCATTGACATCACAACAAATGCCAAAAATGTACAGATCCCACATATCCATTATGTCCCTGACCTTGTTGATCACAGTAATCATTTGGGGTGTAGATTACTGAGGTTACCCTTGACCTGTAGTATTAGAAGCCTATTGTTGTATAGCAATATTATCACAAATGTAGCAGGGTAAAACTGCACATATTTGTTATCTTATGGTTTTTGTGAGTCTGGAATCTGAGCACAGTTTAGCTTTGGGGTCTCTTACAAGGCTGCAAATTCAAATGTTCACCTGGCTGAGGTCTCATCTTTGGTTTCACAGGGGAAATAGTTGCTTTTAAGCTTATGTAATTGTTGTCATGGCTGTTGGCCAGAAACCACCCTCAGTTCCTGCCACAAAGTATTCTCCATTGGGCAGACGTCTTCATCAAAGGCGAAAGAAGAGAGTCGGGTATCTGCTAGCAAGGCAGATGTCATGATCTTATGTAACACAATTGTGAAATTGATATTCCATTGCATTTCCTGTCTTCTATCGGTTAGAAACAAGACTTAGGGCCCATCTACATACCGACAGAAAGGAATACACAAGGGCATGATATTACTAGAGGATGAGGATAATTGGTGGCCATCAAAGATTGTTTACCACATGTATTAAATCAACATATCCTGTCTTGGGGTCTGTATTTTATGATCTGTACCTATCCTTCAGGTAACTATTATGATTACGCAGATTTGGGAAATACCAAACCTAGGGGAAAGGTGAAAGTCAATACAAAATAGATGTAAGTTTTCAGCATTGTTCAAAATTTAAGAGAAATGGGCTTCCAGATGTTGGAGATTGTAACATTGCTTAATCCTACGTAATCAGAAGGACAAAATATCCAGTGACGCATCCCCCAAGCCCAGGCATAATTCTATAAGGCACTATGGGATTAAGTGATGAGTGATATAAAATGGCACATGTGTTTTTACTTTATTGAAGTGTATTACCATGTTTATGGAGAGGAGAGCTTGTGATTGAGGAAGGTTTCATAGGCCAGATATACCTTAAAGTAGACCTTAATGGATGAGTAGGATTTGGATGGAGTGAAGAAAGGTGGAATGGTGTGGGAATAAGCGGGAAGGAAGAAGAATCATGGAATGGAGAATAGTCTTCCTGTAGCGAAGGTTTGTGCTGAGATGTACATAGTGTGCATGGCTATTTTCTGAGTCTGAGAACCCTCTGACATAACCCTTAACCACTGCGAAGACCTGTGGGTGAAGGTCCCCAGTCCAGCTGGGACAAGAGGGACTCAAAAGGAAAGAATAGGTAAATCAAAGGAAGACACTTGTTCTTAAGAAAACGACTTACAAAGAATGTATTTGATGCATAAATAGAATGAGGGACACTTATAGCCTATGTTATATAGATAGCATTGAAGAATTGTGGCAGAAATGGAGATCAGCACGACATTTGTTTATCAATGACACCTATCATGAGCGCCTTTACGGTGTTATCTGGCAATATAATATAAAAGTTGTTGATTAATGTTTTTAAATTAGAGCTAGGTCACAAATTGGTTAAGTATAATGTTAGAGTATAAATATGTGACAGGAATCCATGAATTTGTTCGGGTGCATATTAGACTATCATGACTGAGTACACACAACTAGCACTCAAGTAACATATCCCCTAACACAGAAAATCAATAATACTATATAAACATAGGTTATTAATATCTGAGATAATAACTAGATCATGTACAGTTATCCAGCAATACTTATTTCTTTGACAAGCTAGACTGGACTGGGAGAAATAGTATACTGGTAAAGAATCCCATACATAGTCTGGTGGTAAAGAATATTGCCCAGACCTTTTACCAATCAGTTTGGGTCACCTGCAGCTTCACCGTCTGTGAAAGGAAAGCAACACCGCCCCTGGCAACCTCACTAAGTTGTTACAGTGATCAAATATCATTTATTTATATTACACTTTAAACATGTATAGCATTTTATACCTTCCAATACATTTTTATTAAGCACAAGCCAAAATAAATATTGTTTATTTTCATCATTGGACTACAGGGAAAATTATACAGACTTGTTATCTCTGTTTTACATTTTTCATCATGCTTTCATATTAGAACAAACTAATAATCAGGATTTATAGGTAGCAGAAAGCACACATTTTTAAATGTGGCAGATATTTTTACTTCTAACAGCTTATTCTATTTTCTGATTCTGTACATTGCAGCAATTATTTATCTAATCCTTGCATTATGAAAAAAAGACATTACTTACAGAACTGCTGTAGTTTACAGATTGTGGACATATAATAATTATTGTAAATTACATTTGGGAAACCTGGGTGTTTGGAAGCAGAACTGCAGCGTGTAGGACACCAAATTAAGTCACATTTGTCTATTTATGCAGCTTACATCTTATTTTATACCTTGGACAAGAACATCCCAATTGATGACTGGATTATGGAAACAATCAGTGGTGATAGGCTTACTCATCAAATCATGGATCTCAACCTTGATACTATGTATTACTTTCGAATTCAAGCACGAAATTCAAAAGGAGTGGGGCCACTCTCTGATCCTATCCTCTTCAGGACTCTGAAAGGTTTGAATAATTTCCTATTATGCTTTTCTTTTCCTGTGGGATTGTTATAAAATAGCTTTGCACTCTGTGTTAGAAATGGCCCTGCACCATCTCTATTAGCAACATGGCTGCAGTGGACATTCAAAATAAATTAAAATGTAGCTTTTTATGCTCAAAGCCGACATATCAAAGAAAGATCTGCCATCAGCACATGGCAAACATATTTAACATGACTTTTTTCATTTACAGTCCTGCTAGAAGTTTATTGATGTCATGTATATTGGTTCTATTCAAAATATAATGAAATGCTTCAGCCATTTTATGTAAGGGGATAAAAATTAAAATGTATTGAATTATGTGAATAGCATACTATTGCCGACTTTAGGTATTTTCTTTCAGGTACTATTATCCCTTATATATTAAAGAAAATTTTGATATGACAAGACAGAAAGTTCCAAACCAAAAAAAAAGTCTATTTATTGTAAAGAACCAAGGTAGAAACTATAAAAAAGTTGCAATATGATATCTAGAAGAAAAAATGTTCATACAGAGAAACACTAAAGCTGAATAGTAGTGATTACATCAAAATATTTTCATGTAAGTACTTACTATTTTAGAGCACAGTATTATTTTTCTGGGGGACAAATGGTTTGAAGAGTCATTTAACAATTGAAAATAATTTGAAACATTCAAATGATTACAATAATTTGAATGTTTAATTCATTTAACAATTGAATAATTTGTAATAAGTTTCACAACTAATATTTAAAGTTGTATATTTAAGGCATGATATGTGTTGTTCTAAAGAAGGATAACTTAGCTCTTAAATCTGTGACCACATCATACCTCTATATCTGGCAGAAATCTTAATACATGATAGTAAAGTAAAAAATTAGAAACACACGTATGATTGGCTTCTTCTGTTTGACATACTAAAAGAAGAGTCTTAGTATAACTGTATAGCCTATTCCTCAAATCTTCTAGGAAAGGTACCCTAGTAAATAAGGGACTTTTGAATTCTGATGAGTGAGCTATTCAAAAGCTGGGTTTTGGTAGCAGCTAATCTGAAAATTTGCCAACAACACACAAGCAAGCATTCAGCCAAAGCTTGCATGACAGTTCTTAATGGCGGAGTAGAAGTTGGGAGGAAAGTAGGATAGAAATGAGTTCATCTTTGTCATCTAAATTTTGAGGACTTCATGTCTAAATCAGGTTTCACTCCAAATGAGCAATCAAAAGGCAACTCGTTATTCATTTTGTGGCAGCATGAAATGTAACTAGATAGTGTTTTGCAAATGCTTCATTTTTATCTATAGATGAGTGCCAAATTAATTTCATACTCATAATGTTTGCCAACTGAGAGATCTGAGGAAAGGTTGAAGATGACTTAAGGCATCCAAATGTGTTAAACAGCAGAGTGATGAGTTATCATAAGATTTGCAGGCCCACATTGATAGCCATCCCAGGAATTGTTTAATGAGCTCAGTATTTCATTTGGTACTGTTTACCCTAAGTGCCCTAAACACATCTAGAAAACTAAGAACAAGTTCAGGAATTTGTTCTATGACATAATGGTTCAAAGAGTTATTTCTAATACCCTGATTTGAAGTTTAATATTGTCTACCCTAAATGTCATGCTCGATAATAGTCAATTCTATTTTAAACACATGTTGTTTATATGCTAAAATAAGTTTTTGATCATTTAAAATTACTCAGAAATATTGATATTGGTCACTTTTATTAATAATTTTGTACATGTATACATCTTACAAGACACCTACAATGGCAAATGTTCTAAGACAAATAAATTACTCATCATAAGAGATTTCAAGCTACAACATAAGCATTTTAAAGATTTGGTGTAGAGCCAAATCTACACCAAAGATAAAATCATGCTATTGCTCTCTGATTTAAGATTTTCACTTCCCAAAGCTGCAGCAGAGCATACTGTGCTCATCAGAATGTAACTTTGTTTGCCTGAGACAAAGGCTTAGATGTCCCGAAGCTGAGAAAACTCCCAGTACTCACTGGGTAATGGGCAAGTATTTCATAGTAATGCTTGTGCCAGGCAGGTGTCCACGAACGTCATTCCTTCATATTTAGCCTTTGCAAGGATCGCAGCATTTTATTCTAGAGGCTAGCATTTGGTCTTTTTGATATTAACAACCAGTCAGAGAAGTACAGGAAACTCAGTCAATAATCACTGTTTAATTAAAAGGACATTTGTAATTAGAAAGGGATTATCTTACTGTAAACTTATGTAGGTACACATATATGATGTATCTAATTCTTTCTTTGGAATGTTAATTAAAAGAATCTTGACCTTGATTACTTGACCACATAGGAACCTGCACATACCCACCTTTCCACTAATCCTCCCCAGGGTCCCACTGGGATACATACACACTGTCAAACTATTGGAAGACTTATGTCTATCTCTGCCCTATCCTGTGGGTTTTTCCTGCTGATAAAGCATGCTTCCCCATGCTGGCCTATCGGGTAATAGAGAGGAAGGATGCTCCCAATGGAGTAGACCACAGAGGATTCTGGTGGAGGGAGGGAGTCACTTCCTACACACAAAAGAGTGGTATTCAGAGTGAAAGCCCAATAGAGTACAGTAAATTCTCTGGGCATCCTTAGTCATCATTCTGAAATGTGCCTCTCCCCTATCCAAGAATATAGCACTGAAAGCTTTGGACCAGTATAGAAAAAAGTTCTAGTCGTCAAATTCTTTTATGACAAAAATACATGATTTTTCTTGACAAATGATAGAAACATATGATAGAAAAAAATCAAGGCACAAATGTAAGCCATTTTTGTCTCTAATAAAAGGTAGTTATGAGAATCCATATGGTCCCTGTTGGAAAATACTCTTCAGTAGATAACATTTTGAGACATTCAAAATTTCTCAAGTTCTATTCAGTGCAGCTTTGCTAGTAGAAAAATAAATTCAAAAGATAAAAATGAGAATGGGTTTGTCTATCATTACATGTGGTTATTTATCCCTTGCTAAAAATATCTTAGACTGCAGACAATGCATGTATATGATTAAAGATAAAGGGCAGACAAAGAATGGAGATAAGGGTGGTAGTCTCGTCTTTTTTGACATAATTCTAAAGAATTCTCACCTAAATATGAGATGCTGATGAGGATAGTTTCTTAAATGTGTCCCAGTCTGGCTGCCAAACCTACATACTTCCTGGATTGGGTGGGCACTTATGACCTTGACATATCTTGTCAAGGATCAGGTCATTCTTGCTGGGGACCTGTAGCACTTCCAACAACATACTGTCCTTTCTCAACAGCTGTGTTAGGATCTCAGTTCAAAATCGTATTCCTGTCCATAAGCTACATATAATGCAACTGCCTGTCAAAAGCATCTTTATCAATACTATAATAAAACACTATAATAAAATGTATTTGAGAAGCCATTAATTTTCAATGGGAAACAGAAGAGAAACTCTAGATAAAATTAAACTGTGGTGATTAAATTAAATGGCTGGTAAACCTTTAAAAATGTTTGTTAAATCTTGACAAGGTACAAGATTTCATAAAACTTATTTAAAGCTTTCAGAGAGCACCAAATTCTAACCACTAGCCCATCAGAGAGTGTCAAGATAAATAAATTCTGCAGCTCTACTATGCAGCATAGTTCCTATAAATAATATAACTGTATTATGTACTTAAAATTTAGTAAGGTGGTAGATCATATACTGTGTTTTTACCACAATAAATAATAATAATAATAAAATGGGTGGGAGGAAACTTTGGGAGTTTGGGGCAAGTCTGTGGCTTTGAAGGTGGTGATGGTTTCATAAGTATATCCTTACTCTCAAATTCATTGAATTGCATACATTAAATATGGGCAGCTTTTTACTTTTCAATTATATCTCAATAACTTTTTAAAATAACGCTTATAGAATTGTAAAATTATAAACATTGGCCGGGCGTGGTGGCTCACACCTGTAATCCCAGCACTTTAGGAGGCCGAGGCGGGTGGATCACGAGGTCAGGAGATCGAGACCATCCTGACTAACATGGTGAAACCACATCTCTACTAAAAATACAAAAAATTAGCCAGGCGTGGTGGCACATGCCTGTAGTCCCAGCTACTTGAGAGGCTGAGGCAGGAGAATTGCTTGAACCCAGGAGGCAGAGGTTGCAGTGAGCTGAGATTGCACCACTGCACTCCAGCCTGGGTGACAGAGCAATAATAAAAATCCTGGTATATGTAGTGTTTCCCAAAGAGTAATTCACAATTCAAAATCTACTACTTATCAAGATATCTTTTCATAGAATATGTGTATATGTTATGTTTAAATGAAAGAAATTGTAATTGATTTCTGATTTAGAAATCACTCTTAGGATGTAATAGACATAAACCCTGTTCATCTGAAAGGGGCTTTCGTTAACAGAATCAATATCTACGTATTTCAGTTCTAAACATTCTTATTAGGCAATGATTTGTGCTGCTTTATTTAGAAAAAGAAGGACCACCACCTGTAGGGCGTTTAAGGTATTTTTCAAATGATGATTGATTTGCTATAATAGCGCCACATCTGATGAGAGACTGTATTATCAGTTGCTGCCTATTATATTTTCTCTATGTGAATTTTACTGAGACATATACAGGAAGCAATCGGCAAGTGTTGTATCCTACCTATCAAGTTTGAATGGAATCAAGTGAGTTAAATACGCCCAAAAGACTCAAAGCTCAAAGACGGTCAAGTCTAGGTAAAAATAATTCTACTAGTAATTGAGGGAGGGAAGCTTATGAAGATCTGCCTTGGTCAAAATGCCATGTAATTTTCAGAAATGTGATAATACTAGAGATTTACCTCTTATTTAGTTTCATCTGGTTAGCAGAAAAAAAAAGTCATCTTTAAAACAAAATTTAGCAATTTAATTTTTATATTTTTAAATTTAAATTTCAAAAAGTCATTTTTGAGACTATTACTTGTAAGTCCTCTGAAGTTGTCAACAACAACTCAGGAGCTATCTTCACAAGGGCTAAAGTTTATCAAGATATTTAGATTATATTGTACCATATTTATGGTTGCCAATTATTTTACCCAGTCTATGTGAGAATTGGTGAAGTTGTTTAAAAAATAGTCACATACAAGAAAATAGCTTCCTGAATTTTCTTAAATATATATATGGGTGATAATTACTTGGTAATTGCATGCAGTTTTTTTTTACTGTTAATTCTAGTTTTAATTAAATTTATATAATTGTTCTCAGTTTATGTTTAGAGGGATATGAAAAGTAAGATAATTTTAGGATGAATTTGTACAGCAAAAACATTATTTTCAATTTTTTTTCTCTGAATACTTATTTAATAGAAATAAACATGTAAGTTTGGGTCCTTATCAATTTTATTTCAAGAGGGCACTAGCTTTGAAATAAAAACTTACTAAAAAGAACTGTTGGTTTGATATGTCAGCTTTCTTGCTAGGAACTGTCAAAGTCTAATAATGTTATTTCTTTTTCCCCCGCAGTGGAACACCCTGACAAAATGGCTAATGACCAAGGTATGGTGGCTCAATCTGTCATTTTGTGTTCCTTGAATCAATCCTGTCTGTTAGACATGTCAGTCATTACTTTATATTCCTCTTTTCACCTGGACCATACACCTGATGAAGCAGACACTGGCGTGACGATTAATCTTGTTAATGAAGTTCTGCTTGGCTGAGGCTGCGGCTCTGATAAGGAAGATGTAAATTTTCTTGAGAGGAAATTGTTTTGTCTCCATTCTGAAGGACCAATTAAAATGTCAAGCTTCTTTGTATGAAATAAATTTTTAGTCTCTGTCTGCACTTCTGAATAATTCACATTAAGTATAATTAAGCTCAGCATAATTTTCAAGCTGCTCTTGCACCCTTTCCTGAGCTATGGATTAAAGTTCTGTAGCTCTACAGAGAAAACCCGTAAATTATGTGTGATTTTCCTCTGCAATGAGCTTCTTTTAATATATAAAATCAAAGTTGGGTCACCTTTTTTAGGGCATTATCATTGTTCATTTTGAAGCCAGAAAGCTCTTATTCAGTGAATCAGATGCTCATTTGACTCACAGCACAGTATTTTCTCCCTTTTCCTTATTTATTTACTAAAAGCTGATTTGTATAGAGAAACAGGTAAAGTTTTACACAAAGGCAAAATGGAGATAAATAAGAGTTATCCATCAACTTATAAGTGGATATGAACTTACTATTACCGTGATTTGTAGACTGATTGATAAATTAGGATTCCGTTATCTTTACACAAAGGACAATTAGTAGAAAGCTGAGGGAGACAATGAATAGTTTATGAGTTTTATTTTTTTGAGGATGTTACTTTCTTTCCAGAAGAGTTAGGAAAAACTATAAACTGGTTGTAGTCAGTGCTGTCAGTATTTGTAGATTGAGAGTCTGCAGTTCATATAGTTTGTTTCCTTCCTGCTTTGGACACCTACTGTGGGCAGTGCTTACTTGCAAACGTGTCTCATAAGGCACCATGTCGTGAGATTAGGGGAATGCTTTCTTTCAACAGGAATACTTTTTAACTTTTGACAAATACTAAGCCTCTGGATGCTGGCTCTCCCTGACAGCAGAATGCTTCCTGCATGAGTAGCATTTTCTTCAGTGGTCCTGTGTTTACATTCTTCTCTGGCGATGTATACTATGCAGCTGCTTAACAGAACATGGCTAGGGGTTTACGTGGAATAATTGAAATGGGACTGTGCACAGCAATGGCTACTCAGGGTTAAGGTTTTCATTAATCTAGCTGCTCCTACTTGCTTCCACTGAAAATGTTTTCATACAATTAATATCTACTAAATGAGATTTGTAAAAAATATTAATGATGAGTAATTATCACTTGGCATGTATTTACATAGGTAACTTAAATATTAGTCTTGGTCAAATCCAAATCTGGAATAGTTAATAGCACCAGCTTTATTATTGCAGTTATAAAACAATTGAAACAACCTCTCATAACCTTCTTTACTTAAATAAATTTGAAGCTTCCGTAGACAGATAACTCCTAAGTTTTGAAATTATATTTTAAAATAATAGAGAAAAAGATTAAAATAACTGAACTAGTTGAAATGTCATTATTAGTCACTTAGTTGACAACAAACATGTCCAGGCTTCTCAATAAATGGCTTTCCACTTCTCTCTGGGTACTATTATATTGTTTTTTCTTTTGTTAATTGCTTTTAGTTTTTTAAGGTAACTGTTTTGCATAATATTATTTTAAACCACCACACATATATTCTGTAAATTGATTATTTTATGAAAGGCAAATGAGTAAATTATTTCCCAGTCCCTATGATCACACATCCTCCATGGATTTTACTTTGAGTCTCACATCTACAATAAATCAGGCTAGTTCTCAGGAACAAAAGGACCCCCTCAAGAATTACTGCCAGTGGCTGAGTCCATTAATATATTTAGTCAGTTGTTCTTTTTCTTCATCTAATATTACTCAGAAGGATTCTGTCACATATGTAACTTGGAGCCATATTCAGTCATGGTTGGCATGTAGTTAGTTGATCAAGTTGATAGGTTCTAAATTTTACATCAAACTCAATTCACTTATAAAATTGAGAGGGACTGATGACATATAATTTAGTGGTTATAAATAATATCTTCAAATTCTTACAAAGAAAGCATATAAAATTTGCTGCACCCTCAAAGCACGTTTTATAAACAAAATCAGTCTTCTGAGTTGATGACCACATGCATGAGAAATAACCCAGATTAAAGATCCCTCTAAGATTGATGAAAATAATAGGAAGAGGCTGATCTTAATACTCCCATTCCCAGAACACAGCAAATTAGTTGAATATGTTTTACCATTCCCACTGTTAGACCTATTTGCCCCCTTCTCATGGAGAAATGATCCCACTATTACATTTATGACAGGAGCTGAGTTTCTGCTGAGAGAAAATTCCCTCAGAGAAAAAAATGTGGCATCTGGGGTCAGAATTAACCTTGCAAAGATGAATCCTAAATAAAGAAGCAAGAGGTTGAATTTGACTTATATGAGAGAAAGTGAGACCAGTTTTGATTGTCCTAAAAAAAGTATCTGTTCAGATTCTTGTCACAATTATTATTATTTTAGGGATTGAAGATCTGCCATGAAGAACATAAATGTGAAAACAATAGTCATTTGAAATGGTTTTGATTTGGAGAAAATATTTTCTTCTGAGCAATGGTATAGTAGTTGTTTGACAATGATAGGCAATTAACATAGAACCCCTGATTTCTTTATGTAATTGTAAATTGATGAAATATAGCATTTTTAAAACTTTCTAATCTTGACCACCTCTATAATTCTCCTTTTTTGCATCACCCTATCTCTTGCTCCATATCCTAATTATTTCTGTAGATTCTTCCAGGCACAGGTGGCAAATAAGTTGGGAAGTAAAAGAAATTTTAGAGATAAACCAGAGTTTCGTTTTTTGTAGGGTTGGGTAAGGAAATTGCACAGGCTCTATGAAGCGGGTGCAGAGGTTAGATAGAAAATCTATGCTTTAAAAATTATTTTTAATTTTTGTGTCTACATAGTAGGTGTATATATTTGTAGGGTACATGAGATGCTTTGATACAAGCATACAGTGTGAAATAAGCACATCATGGAGAATGGGGTATCCATCCCTTGAAGCATTTATCTGTTGACTTACAAACAATTCCATTACACTGTTCATTTAAAAATGTACAATTATATTATTGACTATAGTTACCCTGTTGTGCTATCAAATAGTAGGTCTTACTCATTATTTCTAACTATATTTTTATACCCATTAATCATCTTCACCTCCCCTCTCCCCAGCCCCCCACTACCATTCCCAGCCTCTGGTCACCATCCTTCTATTCTCTACATCGATGAATTCAATAATTGTTTTGATTTTTGTTTTGACTTTTGATTTTTTCCCTTTTTTTCTATATTCTGATTAAAACTCCTTCAATTTGTCTGTGCTGTTGTGGGCCTATGTAATGGTAAAATGAACCGCTATGCAGCTCTTGCCAGCAGTCACTGTTTTAAAAGCTTTACAGGAGTGACTCACTTAATTCTCGTAACAATACTGTGAGAAAGGTATTGTCTCCATTTTAGCAAGGAAGAAAGTGAAGCTCAGAGAGATGTTATTTGTCTATTGAAACACAGCTAGTAAGTAGAAAGGCCATAAATCCAACCCCAGAAACCACATTCCAAAAGCCTTTTTTTTTTAATTATTCTATTTTTATTTATTTTTTTTAATTTTTTGACACAGAATCTCACTCTATTACCCAGGCTGGAGTGCAATGGCACAATCTTGGCTCACTGCAACCTCTGCCTCCCAGGTTCAAGCGATTCTCCTGCCTCAGCCTCCTGAGTAACTGGGATTACAAGTGCGTGCCACCACACCTGGCTAATTTTTTTGTCTTTTTAGTAGAGACAGGATTTCACCATGTTGGCCAGGATGGTCTCAATCCTCCTGACCTTGTGATCCGCCTGTCTTGGCCTCTTAAAGTGCTGGGATTCCAGGAGTAAGCCACCATGCCCCACCCAAAAGCCCTGATTTTAACCATCAACTGCATGACAACAGATATGTTACATGTATATAGCCACACATTCACATTCGACGTATAGCTATAAAGTTGCTTTAACTGAAGTTTTGTTTGCTGTTATTTGTCCTATATAGATCTTCCTTTTCACATCTCTGAATATTCTAAAGAACAAGGGAAATAACTCTCAATCTGAGGTCATCTTGTTAGTGGGGTGGCAACAGCGCTGATTACATGATCCTGACACTTCTTTATTTCAGGAAACAGGGATGGTGATAATTCACTGTCTAAGCCAGCTTGGGTTGTCAATACAAAACGCTATATACTGGGTGGGTTAAACAACAGAAAGTTATATTCTCAGAGCTCTGGAAGCTGGAAGTCCCAGATCAAGGTTCAGTGTGGTCAGTTTCTGGTGAGGGTCCTCTTCCTGGCTTGCAGGTGGCCTTCTCGCTGTGTCTTCCCGTGGTGGAGAGTGACCTCTCTGGTGTCTCCTCTTCAGAGGACACTAATCCTATTGGATTGGGGCCCTACCCTATGATTTCATTTAACCTTATGATTTAATTACTTCCATAAAGGCCCTATATTCAAATATAATCATATTGGGGGTTAGAGATTCAATATACACATTTTTGGGGAAGCAATTCAGTCCATAGCATCCACATTTAAAAAGAAAGCTGTTATTTCACTCCTTCACTAATTTTTTCCCAGTTTTTCAGAAGCAGAAGGTAAACATTTTACCCAGGATCACAGAATTAGCTGTTGGCAGAGTTAGAACTCAAAACTTTTCTTTCTGGTTCCTAGAGTGTGCAGTCTTTCTACTGTAAATGGTTACTATATTTAAACATTTGATTTCCATTCTTCTAAAATCAGCTCCAACATTTTAGTGTCTCACAGAAGCATTTTAGAAAATCCCTTTGTTTTGAGTTTGCAATGGAGGTTAGCTGTAACTCTGAAACATGACTGCTTCTTAAAAGTGATTATTAGATCAAACTTTTAAGGTATTTTTGTTTGCATCGTTATGTCCCATTTAATGTCCAAATATTGTTCTCCACTTTGAGATGTCTTTGTATGAAAATCGATATTCTTAGCATGAGCAGAAATGTTTACTCTTTCATGTGTGTTTCTACGTCTGCTCATTGTAACAATAGGTGCTATGGCGATGATACAGTACCTTAAAGTGGGCAGGATTCTCATGAAGTGATTTTCACCATTGCTGAGATGAATTACAAAGAAAATGCTCACTTTGAGCACTCTCAAGTGTATTTAATTCTCCATGACCTGGAAAAGGGGTGATCTGAAACACTAGACCTAGAGAAGAGGCCTACGTACATAGGGCAGTTTACAGATCCAGATAAAGACAGCCTGCTGTAAACTGCCCGCCCAACAAGGAGGAAGAATTACTCTCCTGTGAATTGTGGTAATGGCTGATAATGGTCTAGCTTTTCATTTGGAAGTCACTCAGTGTGTGCTATAGGAGCACTGGAATGGAATTAGATACTTTCAGTTCTAGCACAGTCCTGCCACTGGGACCTCTTGTGTAATGTTGGGCAGGTGACTTAACATCTCTCAACATCCTCACCTGTAAAATGATAAGTTCAGACTAAATTATCTTTTGGTTTCTTTCAAGATTTAAGATTCTGAAGTTTTAAGGTTGGTATTAGAATAAAAACTCAGGCATAACATCTTTGCATAGTGAAGCATCTCACATTTATGGCTTTTCCACTATGTGTCAATTACTCTTCTATGCATTGTGCACATGCAATCCTATTTGATTCTTATAGCACCCTTACAGATGTAGAAAAAGAGACAGAGAGGTTAAAACTTGCCCAAACACTCACAGTATGTAAGTGGTGTGAAAGTTGATTATACAAAATGGAGTCACTCATGTCATACCCAACTAAAATGGAGTCAGGAGGTTATAAGGAAAAGCACTCAGATCACATACATTTATTCCAGGAACTGTCTTGTGAGACTAAACCCAAAACTTCAAGGACCTGGTCATGATTCTAAGATTCCACATCTTACTTAACACCTGCTGACACTCAGCAGCTCCTGGAAGACACTACCAGCACCAATTAACTTACTTTCAAAACAACTTGCATAACCTTCCTCTATTCCACAATAAAACTCCGCCTTTCCCTTTATTCTCTAGACTCACCTGGGGCTACCTTGGTTTGGGTGTCCTGAATTGCAATTCATATTCTCAAATACCTTCTTCGCTCAGAGATTCACCTCTATGTATCTTTATTTTAGGTTGACAGTGATTAGGCCCAGATACATACCCAGGCTACCTAACTGGAGAATCTCTGCTCTTGACGTTGTGTAATTTCTGGAAATGCAGACTCATGATCTGTCATCAAGAAAGTTATACCTAAATGGCATCACCATAAGTTCACCTAGTTTAAAGGACTTTGTCTTTCCTTAATAGGGTATTCAGGCAAAGTACTTAACACTGCACCTGCCATTTTACACCTCAGCAGTTTTAATCTCATGAATAAACAGAATGTTAATTGTTTCAAATTTCAGGGAAATAGGGTTTTTGAGGCAGTCTAGTCAAGCTTGGAATTTAGTTAATGTAATCCAGACTTTGCAGGGTTTGGATTACAGCAGCCAGACTGCCGTTTGAAAAATGGAAACCTTTAGTGCCTTCTGATGGGAGCTGTTTAATTGAAAATTAAAACCTCTTCTTACCCTATTATTGTGCATAGTTTCAACACAGTTTATTATTCGGCTGCTTGCTACACCCACTTGAAAAAGCTATTCTCACCTGGGTTTTTCACAGGTTCAATTCTGTAAATTAGGACTGTGGTGAAACAGTAGTAGCAGAAAATGAATAATGTGCTTTTAATGGAGTGTTAAGGTGCTTATCATGTTCCCAGCAAGCAGTCAAGTAGCTGCCTATGTCAACTTCTCAGCAGTTTTCATGTTTTAATAGGTAACTCTGAAGGAACAAAAACGTACTCAGTACTCATAGGAATTGATGTGATTCATGGGATAATTTTAACCTTCTCACACCTGTAAGGTAGACATTTTTGTTTATACACTTCAAATAAAATTCCATAAACAGGTTCTTCTTGTAAGAGCCACTGTATTTTGGATGCCATTTCCTTGTACAGATATTGGCCAAGTACACGGTCTTCCTAGCTTTATTTTCTGCCCACTTCAATCAGCCCTAGATTCTGCCGCTTCAATTTTCTTTCCAAAACAGATGGGTCACTGTTGCTTTGGGGATGAGTCAGTTCTTTGACATCAAGAACCTTGGCTATCTGACTGTAACGTCTCTTTCCTGGTGTCATGGCCAATAGATCCCTCCACATATGCCACAATCACAAATCACCCTGGAAAAAGTGCATTTTTCACAACTACATGCTGTAATGTGTACCATTTTCTCAGCCTTAGCTGTGCTTTCTCTCTTTCTCAACTAAGCAAAGTCTTCTTTGAGACTCCCTTCTCAATTTTACTTTTTTCAAGAATCCTTTCTTACCTTTCTTGTCTTTTATTCACCTGTATTTTCATAACACCCATCCTATTTTTATTGTGTTTTCCATTTCTTCTTATACTTTGCTATTTATATTCTTAGCTTCTTGACCAGATTTTAAATTCCCAAGAACAGAGAACTGGCTAGATTCTTCACATTGTCATCCCTACCTCCCTAATTTAGAATTTATCCTATTTTAGTTGTCTGATAAGTGTTTGTTTAATAGAATCATAACACAAATGTTTGGGGAAGCAGCTACAGAGTAATCTGGAAAGATAAGTTTTACCATTGAATGAAAAGTGTAGATTGGACAGCTCAAAGTAATAGTGCACATGGCTGTGTATATTGGAGATTTACTGATCTTGGGGGAGACGAGAAGTTATGCATATATTTCCAACAGGAAAAAGTATATTCAATAATCACCTACTAAAATAAATGCTAAATAGAAAAACAAGTTCTCTGTAATTCAGCTGATGGTAGTTACATTTGTAGATGGCTACGACCTCCTGCACTCATTTTGTGACCTCCAGTCTTGCTGTCCTTCCTTGTTAGCAGAAAATTTATAGATTTGAATTTCACCAGCTGCTTGGAATTCTGAGTACAGAAAGGAGAAAATCAAAACTAATGGAAGCTGATAAGTTTGTTAAAATTGTGGCTATGAAGTATGAAAAGAACTAGACTCACTTTTGATAACTTGTGGATTACTATGTATCCAGTACTGTGCTGGCACTAGAAACATTAGAAGGAAATGGTCCTGGCAAAGCATTAGAAGGAAGTATGGTTCCGTGGGTCCATTTTCAAGAAGCTTGCAATATAGTTAGGAGGAGGATATTAACACTTCCAGTCCAGTATGAAAAATACAAAATGCCAAATCAGATGGTACTGTCTACATGTGTATGTTACGGGATTTCAGATAAATCATTGTGGGCTGGATTAGAAAAGACTTCTTAAAACCTAAGACTGGGCTTTAAATATATGAGTAGAACTAGACTCAATGCAAACTATTACCGGGGGAAGAGTAGCTGATCCCTTATGTAGAGAAATTCTAGGATGGAAAAGTTAGGAAGCCAAGATGCTGGGAAAATAGTGAGGACTACAGGATGGGCTCCAGGAACATTTAGGATATAATTTGCTCAGGCACAAACATATCTCATGCCTACCTTTGCAGAGTAGTACCTTATGGCAGAGACCTATGTTGGTGAAGAGGCTTTTGCTATTTCTCTCTGCTCTAATGTAGTAGTTCTGGGGCTTTCCTACTTTTCAACATATCAGCTAGCTATTGTCTACACTGGCCAGTGAAGGCCTGCCTGCTCCCTTGTATCCCGAGCCCTGGAAACCCATCCACTCTTGGTTGCTGATATTGATCATTTCCTGCTTGGAGGGGTGTGACTGTGGGATAGGGAGAGAAAAGGATGATGGGATGGGAGTAGGAATGGGGCCTCAGTAGCAGTCATCTTCAAAGAATTTTCTTGGCCTTTTTTTTTTCTTTTTAACCACTTCTGTTGTACCTTTTCTGAAGTGGCAACTTCACTTTTTCCAGTACTCTGCATGGTTACAAGGAAACTATTTTTCATTCTCTGCCACAGCCTTGTTTTGTTCTGCATGTTCAATTGAGAATAGAGCCACCATCTCAAGTCATACATACCTAAACTCTCACTCTTACACCCCAAGACCAACTCTTTGAAGTGCTCTAATTTCTGTCCACAATTTTCCCCGTTTCTCCTCTCTTTTTTTTTTTTTTTTTTTTGAGACAGAGTCTCACTCTCTCACCCGGGCTGGAGTGCAGTGGCATGATCTTGGCTCACTGCAATCTCTGCCTCCTGGGTTCAAGCGATTCTCCTGCCCCAGCCTCCCGAGTAGATGGGATTACAGTCCCCTGCCCCACTATGCCCGGCTAAATCTTGTATTTTTAGTAGCGGTGGGGTTTCACCATGTTGGCCAGGTTGGTCTCGAACTCCTGACCTCAGGTGACCTGCCCGCCTCGGCCTCCCAAAGTGCTGGGATTACAGGAATGAGCCACTGCTCCTGGCCCCCTATTCCTTCTTTTAGTTATTTATTCACCTATAATGCTAAAATCATCATCATCAGAGTCATACAGTATCAGCCACTTCAAATGAAACCCTGTGTTTATTCATCTTTCTGAGCTATAGTTTTCTCAGCTATAAAATGGGGTTAGTAATGTCTGCCTCAGAGATGCATAATTAATATTGCCATATTTATTGGAACAGTTTATTCTGATCCATTTAGTTCCACAGTCATCCAGAATAATCTTTCTAAAATATATGTGTAATTAGTCAGAGTTTTGCTTAAAATATCTTCAGTGGATCCCTATCCTCTATAAAATAAATTCTAGACCATTTTGCAGAGCATTTAGGGAGTTTTATTATTGTACCTCTGCCTTTTTTTTCTAAGCTCATCCACCTCACGGTTCTCTACCTAATAAATCAAGACAGATCTTTATCTGTCCAGCTCCTTTGGTTCCCTAATTTTTGCCTTTTCAGTTTTTGTCCACTCTC
The DNA here is from genome assembly GCF_000001405.40 of Homo sapiens. Taxonomy (NCBI): domain Eukaryota; kingdom Metazoa; phylum Chordata; class Mammalia; order Primates; family Hominidae; genus Homo; species Homo sapiens. The sequence continues at coordinate 53,426,147 of NC_000018.10, forward strand.
CCTTGTGAGACATCAAGAATGTGGGAATGAGAAGTACTAGAATTCACAGGAGTAACCAATGTGTTTCTTAAAATATATATGTATGTGTCTGTGTATTTATATATTTATATATAAATACATATATATTTATATATTACATATTTATAATATATATTTATAATATATATTATATATTTATAAATTTTATGATATATATTTATAATATATTTTATGATATATATTTATACTATGTTATATATCATATATATTTATGATATATATTTTTATGATATATATTTATATATTTATATTATTTATATATTTATGTAATATATATTTATTATATATATTTTTATATATGTATATTTTCCCCCACTGGTTGGCCTGGCAAAGTATACTGCTTTTACTTTGGTGCTTGCAAAAAGAATTCTCACCTCACATGCCACCTCCTCTGAGAAACCTTTTGCTAGGCATAAGTAGATAATCATCCTGTTTTTCCACTGGGTCACGTGTTTGTTTGTTTTCTTTTTTTTGAATTTTTGGAAATTACCATATGGTTGTAAGTATTCACTTAACATTTTCCGTCTCACTGACTTACAAACTTCTGCAATAGTCATTTTATATTCCTAATGCTTAGCACTGTGAATCTACTTAATGCATTTGTTGAGTGGATGGATGAAGCACGGATGGAGACATAAATGATGAAATACTGTGCTCCAACAGTGTCGTTATCTACACAGACTAGCAGGGCACCAGCAGGGTGCTCATGTTCTAGTGTTTTCAGACTGCAGCTGCAACTTCCAGATCTATAGTCACTTGGAGGAGAGAACTCTCTCATCCTCTTCTGCCTCTTCTTCCCGGGATGCTTGGCAAATTTGCTCAGGCACAAACATATCTCACACCTGCCTTTAGGATAAGCTTGTGAACCACGCAGATGGGGGAGGCTTTTATGGATCATTCCGTGGCCTTTGAGAACAGATGCTCTTTTATAAGCCAAAAAAGATTGTCTCATTCTTTATGTTGTAGCCTGGCAAATGAACTAGCTCTTGGAAATATCTAGTCATCCAAGGCAGTGCCCATATTTGGAGGAACAGAATGCTTTTTAGATTTTAATAAAGACTAAGCTGCATATAAAAGTGGTTTCTTAGACCCCTAGGATGACTGTTACTTCAGATATACTAGAGGCAAGTGTGCATAAAAGGAGATTCCAATGACAGGAAGGACTTCAGAGACCACCATCTACCACCATACTACTGATATTATGAAGCCATCTTTATGTTTTATTCTATTAAGAATTCAATTGTTATTCAGTTGTTTCATTCCTAACTTGCATGAATAATAATTATAATAACTAATAAACATATTGGGCTTTAGCTGTGTGGAAGGTTGTGACAAGGGTGATCAGGAGCAGCTGACAAGTTATCAGCAGCCGGGCAAGGGAGATAGTCAAGTGTAGTTATTGTCACATAGGTTAGAACTTATCATCTTTTCTCACCTGAAATCTTTAAGAAGGAGGTTAACTACTTTCCTGTTAACAAAAGATCTTGATCTGTCCAGCTCCTTTGGTTCCCTAATATTTGCCTTTTCAGTTTTTGTCCACTCTCCCTTATGAGACATCAAGAATGTAAGAATGAGAAATAGTAGAATTCAGAGGAGTAACCAATGTGCTTCTAAAAACAGAAATATATATAATATATTAATATATGATATATAATATATATATTTCTTTTTATATATAATATATAAATATATACATATATAATATAATAAATTATATATAATATATAATAATATAATATATAATATAATATAATATATTATAATATATAATATAATAATATAATATATAATATAATATAATATATTATAATAATATATAATATAATACTATAATAATATAGAATATATCATATAATAATATATTATAATAATGTGTCATATATCATATAATATATTATAATAATATATAATATATAATATAATATAATAATATATAATATATAATATAATATAATAATATATAATATATAATATAATAATATATAATATGTAATATATAATATAGAATATATAATATTATATATAAGTATATATAATTATAATTATATATATAATTAATTATATATTTAATAATATATTATATAGAATATAATAAATTATATAGAATATAATAATATATAGAATATAATATATAATATAATATAATATATTGTATATAATATAATATATGTTGTATATAATATAATATTATAATATATTGTATATAATATAATATAATATATTACATATATAATATAATATATTACATATATAATATATTATATTATTTTATATATATTATATAATATATAATATATATTTTTTATATATTTATATTGTATATTTTATATATTTTATATATTTATGTATTTTATATATATATAAATATATTTATATATATATTTATATATATAAAATATATATTTTTATATATAATTCATATATATTTTTATATATAATGTATATTTTATATAATATATATTTTTATATATAATGTATATTTTATATAATATATATTTTTATATATAATGTATATTTTATATATTATATATATTTATATATATTATATTATATACTATATATTTTATATATAATAAATTATATATTATATATTTTATATATAATAAATTATATATTATATATTTTATATATAATAAATTATATATTATATATTTTATATATAATAAATTATATATTATATATTTTATATATAATAAATTATATATTATATATTTTATATATAATAAATTATATATTATATATTTTATATATAATAAATTATATATAACATATTATATTTTATATATAACATATATATATTTTATATATTTTTTATATAATATATATTTTATATATTTTTTATATAATATATATTTTATATATAATATATTATATATTTTATATATAATATATATTTTATATAATATATATTTTATATATAATATATATATTTTATATATATATAAATATATATATATCGGTTGGTCTGGCGAAGTATACTGCTTTTACTTGTTGGCCTGGCAAAGTGTACTGCCTTTACTTTGGTGCTTGCAAAAAATAATGCAGTATTTGTAAACGTTTTTCCTACTTTAGAAGATGGTCTCTGCAAGAGACCACATGCATGCCTCAGACAGTCAAGACCCATTATCAGGCTAAGATGTAAACCAAGAGCAGAAATTAGGATAAGAAATTAATTTGTTTAAATTTGTCTAGGATACCCACAGTTTCTATTTTGTATCCTGGTATTTTTTTTGTAATAACTGTATGCTCACTCAATTTCATTTTATTCGTGTGTGAAATTATTATCTTAGTTTTGAATTTGATTTCTAAGGATTTTTAAAAAATGAATTTACTTCTCAGGAAGAGTCTAACCTGTTCATATTTTATGGCCTAAATACAGAAATTGGAATTGCAAAAATACTACTACTTATGATTAAGAGAAATATGGGTAATGGCATATTTGGTTTTCTTGCACTTTGGCTCAGAGTAGTTTACCAAATGCATTCCTATCCTGCAGATTATTGCCCTTAGACTTTCCACAGGTGGAAAATAAAACCAAAGGTTTTGAAGAAGGGAAAGCAGCAAGAATTTGTAGAGCACCAGGGCTCAATATTGGACAGGCATAGCAGTAACAATGTATTTTCTTTCAATCAGTGAACTTTCTTTCATGTTGTTTTGAAAACAATGTGTTGAACCTTAGGAAAAGGTTAAGAGAGCTCATTAGTTCTTTTCTATTAAAATATTTGAAATATCCTACGTGTTGGTTATGATTTTGCTTTCTGGTTTTTGATGCCCGATGCCTTTGTTTAAAATCAGCATTGTTATCAACTGCCTGGTAAACCGATCTTTTAGAAACACATTTCAGCCTCTGACAAATCACCTACTTTAAATACGGTCTGTGTGTCAGATGGACAGTAAAATTATATTCAGGTAATATTAATGGATATTCTTTATCTGCTGGTATACAAGACAGAAAATCAATGCAATTTCTATCATCATTAGAATTATTTTCAGAGAACAAATTTTAAGATCAAGAAGATATCTCAGTGCTCAGCACCCTTGGAAAGATATACATTGAACATTTGTTAGATGGCCAGTCTGTCCATTTGATTTAGATTATGGACAATACGTTTTTCTCTAGGGATTGATTGTATGAACGTCGTCCTGGATGACCCTCTCTTATGCCCATTCAGGGAAGATGGATTAAACAAACGATTAGAACTACCACATCCACTTTTCTCCATGTCTTCTGCAGATTAATTTTCCATTCTCTCTTCTCTGAACTTATAAACAATCACACAGAAAAACTAGACTCTAGGACTGAAATCCCAATTGAATTAATCTTTGTTCAGTGCTGAAAATTTTTTATCGTGGAAAAGATTCTCAATCTGCCCATGTGTGCTGCAAATAAGGATTTAATATAAACATTAATGTTATTTCATTTTATACGTACACCACAATAAAAACATGCAAATAATTCAGGTGACATGTAAGGATAATAACATAAATAATAAATTGCATAATAGTAATAACTTAAGATTTGTACTTATTATTAAAACATTACAAAGCATCCTAGCTAGCATTAGTTACTCATAGGACATTGAGAACACATTTTTGCACATCACTTCAGTTAGCACAAAGGAATATAACAATGAACAGACTTCCTAAAGGAAGTCATATTACTTCTGCCAATTTTTTCTTCAATTCAGAGAACAGGTAGCAGGGAGATCAAGAAGACTTTTGTCCAAGGAAGCATATGGTATGTGCCAAAAAGGGATAAAAAGAAGATTCCTTATGAGGCCCATCTTTTAAATAAAATGTGTAAGGCAACCCCTTAAACGACTTTATGACATTTTAAAAATTCAAAGAAAGGAGAGGTATATGAAATTTCTGATTAGGACCTGCCTAAGCATTACCTAAATAAAATATATTTAAATATATAAAAGCTATTTTGAATAACTCAAAACAGCTACAAACTCCCTCTGTTTTAACTCAGCCAATGCCCATTTAATATTTATTTAATTTTTGTTTCTGAAGCTACCATTTCCTGGTTCCAAAATCTAAGGTAAAAGTAGAAAATCATTTGCTTTTATTATCAAAACTTTGGCAGAAGCTTTTTTTTTTTTTATGAAATTAGCTGCATAAAATTCCAAAGTTGTTAAGTGAAAATCAATTAATTACTCTTTAATATCTCATTCCTCCCCATCCTCAATTTGTGTTATTGAGAAAATATGGGTACATAGTAATCCAATACAGAATTCTTCTTTATATCCTGTAGAATTATATTCATATAGTACACTTTGTTTTTTGTTGTTGTTGTTGTTGTTGTTGTTTTTTTACTGAGCCAGAGTCTTGCTTTATCGCCTAGGCTGGAGTGCAGTGTCGCAGTCTCGGCTCACTGCAACCTCTACCTCCTGGGTTCAAGCAATTTTGCCTCCACCTCCAGAGTAGCTGGGACTACAGGCATGCGCCACCGTGCTCTGCTAATTTTCGTATTTTTAGTAGAGACGAGGTTTTGCCATGTTGCCCAGGCTGTCTTGATCTCTTGACCTCAAGTGATCCACCCTCCTCGGCCTCCCAAAGTTCTGGGATTACAGGCATGAGCTACCGCACCTGGCCTTCATATAGTACATTTGATCACTATTCATATAAAATTGTATTATTCATATAAAAAGGAAAAAATAAACTACTGATTTCTAAAATGCTTTAAGCCATGTTGAACTTTATTTGAGGGAAGAAAACTGAAATTTATTACGTGATTTCCCCCAAATTTATATTTGAATTTCCATAAATCCATTTAATTATTTAGAATTTTAATTTGTAAAAGTGTTAAAAATTTAGTATGATATGCAAAAAAGTAATTCAAGATTTTAAAATAAATATAACTATGAAACATATAAAGTTATGTGACTGAAAATAAAACATTTTTATTTGCATGCAGTTCTTTTAATAATACTTTTGATAAGAATACTTTAATAATAATTAAAAAGCATTTTTAATTAAACCTAGTAGTAAGTTTATAGTAATAAATGAATTAAGTTATTCTTAAATCTTTAATGTCAGAAAATATTAAGAACCATCTGCAGTTGGTTAATATTAACCATAAATAGGCCTGCATAGGATCTGATTACAATGAACCAACTCTCCCTGTCATGGCAGGATCCATGTCTAATATATCTTTTTATACTACTCCTTCCCTGAGGATCTAGGACTATGCGTTGCATGTAGTAAGCATTTAATAAATGTTTGAAAGAATTATTACCAGTTTTATGCTTCATTAATAAAATGACCTCTGGGATAGGGAAGTATTTTATATCTTTGCATTAGCTGACTTTCACTCCAGCTGTTTTCTAAATTCTGATTACTCCTCTCTTTCTCGAAATCAGTGCTTATGAAATTAACCAAGGTAACTAAACACATCCAATATTTGTTCTACAGCAACAAGCTCTTAAAAATGCTGTGATATGCCAAGAAGTAACACCCATAAACCCATATCCTTTCCTTTTTAGCCTTTATTGTCTCTTCATTTGACAACTTTGTGATGCTCTCCTTAAAGCAATGGGAGAATCTTTTATCATTATTATTATTATTATTATTATGTATTGGCCACATAAAGGGAGACTTCCTGAAATTTAAAAGACATATTTCAGAGAATGGAAACTTAACATCACTCAAAATTAAAATTAAAATTAAAATCTGATGCCTCTGTCTTTAGATCAAGAGATCTTAGGCTCATCAACATCCCAGAAATGGGTTTTGTGGTTTTTTGGCTGAAGTGGTGCAAGAAATGTGAATCACTATAAATCTAAACTTGCTCGTTGGTGACATCAACTTTTTAAAAAGTGCTTTCTGTTGGACTTGTTGAGAATTACATGATTTCCTTTTGTGATATTAATCTAATTATAAGGGACAAAAAGTTAACCCACATCAATATACTAGATTCTGTGAGTAGAATGTCCAAGCTTTAAGCTACTCCTTGTTATTTAGAAACATTTCTAGAGTTCCTTTATCTCACCCAGCGCTTTGACCTATACGGCATCTGATTTCTTCTACCTATTGAAATTCACGATGTAATCAATAGCCTCACTAAATCTAAGGGGTGCTGTACCCATAGAGCTATATGTGTATGTAATATATGAATATGCTTATTGGCTTCTTTTTGCATCCTGCCACAAATTACAGGGAGAGTTGGAAACTTCATTAAAAAGACATTTGCCAGGCTGCTGGAGGAAAAGGAAAATCCTCCATAGGCTACCTAGCTAATTTCCAGCCGATACAGGATTATTCCCAACAGGAAACATGTATTGCTTTACTGGCCTAAGTGATGATGTTAGCATCTCTTTTGGCTGACTGCTTTGCAATCTAGCTGCTTTCAGTTGCTAGAAAAGTCATCTTAATATTTATGTAGAGCTTCCACCTCACATCAGCCAACGTTGATCTCACGATGTCTCGTGGGCAAAGCTTATCCGCTGCTCATTGAAACCCCAAATGCATCACAGTTATATAAACAAGGTATTTGTAAAAGGGTTAGACTTGTCCACATTTTTGTCAGCCCACTAAAATTTTCACAATTTCAGCTCATTTTGATTGTTCCTCTCACCACCACCTTCCCCCTGTACACACACATAGGAGCCTGCATCCTATCTCCTACTTCCTTACATACTCACAGTCATTGTCCCAGCAGATATTAAACATGCCGTTTTATGCTGAAGATATAATATAAGGTGACTGAATTAATTTATCTTATTGCTTGCTAGAAATTTGACATCCTAACTTCAGCTGTGACTTGATATCAAAAGAATTTTTTAAATTGTGAATATAGAGTCAGTTAACAGGATTCTAAGTTGTTTCTTGAAAGCTGTTTTGCAAATAAAATGATAAAATCTTGGGAAAGCTTTAGTAAGGGTAGTGTTTGTCATGCAAAATAAAGTCACAAAACCAGGACTTGAAAGTTATAGAGATGAAGAAAACTGAAATCTCTAAATGTGAGAAAACAACCTATGTTACTGTATCTGAGTGTCCTGGTTGGCTTTCTCTATGTCATCCACTGATTGGAACTGCTTTCAGAAATAACTGTTTTAAGCAAATAAAATAGAAAATTACCTATACTCTGGTCTTTGTTTGCATACAGATTCACCTCTCAAATGTTTTACATAAGTAGTCTACCTAGATATTCTAGAACTCAAAATCTAATCAAATGATTTCAGTTCTATGAATGCACCAGTAGAGAAAAAGATTATCTGTGGTGAAACACCATTAATTAAATTTTGGATGATAGTATAATTATTTCTGGTGAATTCCTGGCTTATTTCTCTTAAATACGGCTTTCACATCTGTTACACACCTAATGGAAGGCAGAATTTCCAATAATGCTATACTGAAGGAGCTTTCTTCCCTTTATGGTGTATTTGTAGGAAATATTCAGACCATATGGTTTGTGACATAACCTCCACTCTTACTTCCAATGTGGAATTTCATTTCCAGGTACTGTATTTGACACCTAACAAAGAGAATACCCAAAGCCCAGTTATAAGATGAAATGTGCTGGCCCCTTGTAGGATAACAATAATTTTCCATAAAGTCTTGTCAGTTGGGTGACAGTATCTGCAGGACCTAGGAGCCAGGACCTGAGTTATTTCTGTTCTAAAAGGTTCAGGAGAATAGCATTTAGACCGGCACTGCTGCTGCACCTTTAATAAAAGACTTTAATAAGAATATTGGGAGAAATAAAAAGAATGGAGGATGGCATATCAGTGAAACACTGAATTTAGTTTAAGAGAGTTTACTTTTGCGACTTGTTTTTCTCACACATGGAAAATAACATTTTCTTATAGGTGTAAGGGTATGAGAGTTGTCAGGCTTTCTTGGGGGTGATCAAAGTAATCTGTTCTGTTATTGTGTGTGTTAAAATATTTATTCTTTTTGTCTTCATTTTGTTTCATTTGTACTGACATTGTGACATGCTCTCCCAATGAACAGGTCGTCATGGAGATGGAGGTTATTGGCCAGTTGATACTAATTTGATTGATAGAAGCACCCTAAATGGTAAGTATATAAATTAGGTAATATTGAATTAGTTATATTAATTAAATGGTTAATTCAAGAGTGTCTGGGGCAAATTTTCTATCAACTACAAGTGCCAGGAACCTTGGATTTAGTGTCTTAGTGGGATAATAGAAACATGAAGTTATTAAAAAACAAAAACAAAAACAAAAAAAACAAAAAACTTCTAGCACATTCTGCCAGGAGATGATGCCAATAAGAGTTGACAGGTATGTAAAAAAGGAGTCAGTTAGAGAAGCCCAGCATGGAGCACTTTGTAAATGACACAAAGCTGTTAAATACCAAGATTTTTAAATGTTACAATACATTTAAGATGTTTGCAGGAATCTAATTTTATTTGAGAGAGGTGATATCTAAGGTTGGTTAAATTGAAACCCACCCAGTTTCATATATTAAAGTTACTTGGATTTTTGCCTGCAGGGTACATTTAATTCTTCAAAATCCTCTACCATCTTAGGGCTAAATTTTCTTTGTGTTGTCTACATTAGACATTTATTTCTGCTCATCCTAGTGGAGCATGCCCAAATATCTGCTGGCTTTAAGGATGACCAGATGGAGGTACTATCTAGAGCTACATAGAAGGACAAGGTTGGTGTGGGGGCTGCATTCCAGGATCTTATCCTTAGTTTTGCTGAAACAAACTTTAAAAGGATGGACTAATACTGGCCAAATTTTCAGGGGACTAATGTATGTATGAGGCCATGTTATAAGTTTCTTTTTCATTATTGCTGTTGTTTGGTTTGACTTACTAAAAAGACCTTCAGATATTCAAAATGTGAAGATGAACACTTGTATACCCATCAGCAAGGTTAAGATATGAAATATACAGCATGGAATTGAAATATCTTGTATGTCTGTGTTTTCTCACATGCTTCTTAACACTGTTCCTCACTCTGATATAAGTGCTCTAATTTGATGTTTACTACGTATGTATACGTATCCCTAAACATTATATTGTTTTACAGTTTTACAAATTTATAGAAATGATATTGTATCCTGCTACAACTTGCTTTCTTTTTTAACGTAGTTTTGAAGATGTATCCATGTGTTTACAAATAGCTCTCACTCATTTATCTTGGCTGCTGTACAGTATTCTATTTTATGAAACAACAAAATTAACCATTTTTGCAGGTTTTCTTAAGAAACTTGATTACTGAACTGATAAATTTCCATTTGTTTGATCTCCTTTTAAAAAATCCAGAAAGGAAGTCAAAATTCCAATCTAAAAATAGTTTGCTGCATGTGAAATAGAATAGTGGTGTAAATTAAGTGATTATTTCTTATCATAGGCTGTGATAATCTAATGCAGCAATTTTCCCAAGAGGATATATATATATACAGAGTACACCAAATGCTTGCATCAAAGACTTAGGGTTATCTCTCCTCTGGCCAATGGTAGACTTAGAAATATATTTTCACCTCTTGACTTATTTTTGAATTGCCTGGCAATACCTTCCTCTGTTATTAATGCCTTTTTCCTAACCAGCAACACGTAGAACGTCTTATGTTTAAACTTTGAGTCCATTTCTGCTGCTATTAAAAAATACCCCAGATTTGGGGTAACTTATAAACAACAGAAATTTATTGCTCACAGTTTTGGATGCTAGGAAGTCCAAGATCAAGGTGCCAGCAGACTGGGAGTCTGCTGAGGGCTCATTCTCTGCTTCACAGTTGATGCCTTCCAGCTGTGTTCTCCCATGGTGTTTGGAAAGGGTGAGCAAGCTCCCTCAGGCTTTTTCTAAAATAAGGGCACTAATCCCGTTTATGAGGCCACCACTCTCATGACCTAATTATCTCCCAAAGCCTCCACCTCTTAATGCCTCCCTAACAGGGATTAGGTTTCAACATAAGAATTTTGGAAGGACACAAGCATTCAGACCATAGCAAGCTTCCCAGGATGCTCTTTCCAGGCTACTCACAACTTCCTATTGTCTCTTAGACTCCTCATTTTCCTTCATTTAAATAACATGACTGTCCCTGGTAGGTATTTGACTTTCAGACACTTGTTTTAACTAACACCTTGCTCTGGCAGTCCCTAACATACCCAACAGGTAGTTTAGGAAGCACACAGGGCTGGGTGTGGTGGCTCACGCCTGTAATCCCAGCACTTTGGGAGGCCGAGGCGGGCAGATCACGAGGTCAGGAAATCGAGACCATCCTGGCTAACACGGTGAAACCCTGTCTCTACTAAAAACACAAAAAATTAGCCAGGAGTGGTGGCACGCACCTGTAGTCCCAGGTACTCAGGAGGCTGAGGCAACAGGAGAATCACTTGAACCCAGGAGGCAGAGGTTGCAGTGAGCCGAGATCACACCACTACACTACAGCCTGGGCAACAGAGCAAGGCTCCATCTCAAAAAAAAAAAAAAAAAAAAAAAAAAAAGCTCACAGAAGGTGAGAGGAGGGACTTGTTGAGACAGAAAACAGACCCCAGGCCATGCTCCATAAAATGGGCATAAGTAACAATAATTCCCTCCTCCCAACTTTGCAATTTCATTAGCTCACTCTCGTGCTCCAAATTTTATCTTAAATTTCAACAATAAGCCAAAAACATTATATGTATTCAAGCAGTCAGTCAAGAAATGCGACTAAGCCCTCAGCGAGTGCAGGGCACTTGCAATGAGCTATGGGCGCAAACTGAAGGACAGACCACTGCAGGACCAATACACCAAGAGGGTTAATTGCCTGGGTGGACAAAGCAGAAATATACACCCCAGGAAGATGAAAGAGGATGAGAAAATCCCTAGAGATATATAGCAGGGTAAAAAAAGGAAGTTGCTGAAATTGGGAGAAACATAATTGTTGTATTTTATACCCTGAGATACAGAGCTTCTGACTTTGGAGTTCATGCAGGAAATTAGCATTGTCCCCTTTAGAATCATCCAACAGAGCCAATTTTAAGAAGCTATTTCTACAAGGATTTTCACATTGAAATTCATTCCCAGTCAAGGGAATACTATCTATACTGGTACGGGACAGTACTTTTTGAAGAGACATACTGCCAGAAAATTAAAGAGGGATTTGGTATGGATGAATGAGAGAGAGAAATTAACCTATAGGTTTCAACCACTACTGAGCAGTGGTTATGAGGCTTAAAGCTTGGGCAAATGTAAGCCACAGACACAAAACTATGTACTCTCTTAAACTGCATGTCCAAAAGGACTCCAGTATTGGGAAGAATTGCCAGATATTGCAATTAAAAATATAAAGAGGCCAAGTAACATTTAAATTATTTCTGTGAGTAATAGATAAAGAAAAATTATAAAAGGGATTGCCATCTCAATTTATATATGCACCCCTAGGTATACATGAATAGGCAACTAGAAATAATTCTAACCTAATTGGGCCTCCTGTATTTTTAATTGTGAAATCTGGAAATCCCAATTTCAGATTGAATTCAAAAGTTTGTTGTTGACTATTTGAAGTTGCTATTCAAATTAAAATAAATTTTTGGTTGAAAAGAAATCCCAGCCCACATTTGACATGAGCATATAAGTCAACAATCACTTTCCTTTTCAAAGGTGTCAGATGTTAGAAGAAGAGAAAGAGAAATCCACATCATTGGGTTCATTTTTGTTTTACCATTTAAGATTCCTAGTGAGAAAACTGACCAAAATTAAATTTGACCTGGTACACATTATCTCACAGGAGAAAGTCGTGAAGATTAAATAGACCGATGCCATTCAGTAGCTTTGAAGCAGTTTAGATGCGTTATTGACATTACTTCTTCCCAATTTTCTGCATCACTTAATGATGTTTTAGGGATTTCATGCTAAATGAATGAGATGAATAACGTATCTGAAATATTTCTAGATTCCCTACTGGAATAACAAATTATTTCAGGCTGTCTGGCTGATTAAGGTGAACTGATAACTTCAGAGAGCCAGGGATGGTAGAGGCCAAACTTTATCTGCTTCCTATTCTATTTTGCTAGCAAATAAATGATGATAAGTATATAATATAACTTTAGCCTTGGCTATTACAAGCAAATCAGCAAAGGCATCTGAAAACCTCAGATTTCTAATTAAATTTTTGCTAATGTCTTAAGCTTTAAAAGGGGGGTATGTTTTCCAAGTAGATGTGCAAGTGAGGCCCCTGAGTAATAAAACTCCAATTGTACTTCACCCTTATAAAGTGGGCTACATCAAAACATTTAATGTCTGAGTTTTTAAACCTTGTATACAATAAAATTTCATACGTCTCCCCTTAGAGTGACAGAATTATAGAGGTTTCCTAGCTCCCTCTACACTTGCTGGATTCATTCTTCAAAGCATTGTAATAGAATAATGGCTTACTGTCAGGATACTCAAGCCAGTTGCAAATAAATTTAGACCTTGCTAATCATTTACTTTCTCTTACAGCGTGCCACTCTTAAAAATGTACTCTTGGAATTCAAATAAAGAAAAACCAAACTATAGTTCATGTTTACTCCTGTAGTTGGAAGCCCTTAATTAAATGGTAGAACTGAAAGAGGCTTCCTAAATTATTTTCTGATGGCAGGTAGAATCAAAGCTAATATGTGGTGATGTAGTAGTATTTTTCTTTTTTTTTTTTTGAGACGGAGTCTCGCTCTGTCGCCCAGGCTGGAGTGCAGTGGCGGGATCTCGGCTCACTGCAAGCTCCGCCTCCCGGGTTCACGCCATTCTCCTGCCTCAGCCTCCCAAGTAGCTGGGACTACAGGCGCCCGCCACTACGCCCGGCTAATTTTTTTGTATTTTTAGTAGAGACGGGGTTTCACCGTTTTAGCCGGGATGGTCTCGATCTCTTGACCTCGTGATCCGCCCGCCTCGGCCTCCCAAAGTGCTGGGATTACAGGCGTGAGCCACCGCGCCCGGCCGTATTTTTCTTTTATGATGCATTCAATTTTAGATTATGGTCCACATTCTTAATGCAGAAAAATTCTTCAATATCTGGAAATGTGTTTTGTAGTTTATATTTGTATAAATGACGGAACTATGAAAATTGCTTCAACATAATCCTCCCTTTCTGATTAGAGAAGATAAAATGGCAATTTCCTTTTTTCTATAGCTCTACCTATAATTTGTAAAATCAGTGTAACAAGTTTGATTAAAAGATCTATAAACCTCATAATAGTATTTTATTGACCTCAACCTTTAAAGATAAAGTTAAACTTGATGAGTTTTAAAACTTTGGTACATCAATGTTAATAAATAGATCAACATTATTAATTTTTAAATACTCAGAATCATATTAAGTGCTCTATAAAATTTGTCAGAAAAGAAGCAGTTTGCTCTCTATTTTTGCAAACCTGTTTTTTTTTTTTTAGAATTCAATAACATTTTAACCAATGTAAATAAAGTATACATAAAACTCTTTCCACACTTCTATAAAATGATCATTCCAAGGTTGGTAACTATTAGAAGACACCCAATGCTACACTCAGCAGAAATCTTAATGCAAAAGAAAAGATACAGAAACAAAATTTTACAGCTTTTTTTCCAGATGAAAAGAAAAGATAACTAGAGTAATCTGAGGTCCTAGGTTCTAGTTCAGTGATTACAAGAGACTGCTCACCTATCATCCACCCATTATCTTTATCCCAAAGGATTTTTAAAAGTCCTAGTCTAAACCCAGATTCTAGACCTGACTTTGTAGAGCTTAGAGCTGTGTGACAAATCAAGTCACTTAAACTCCGGATCTCAATTTTCATCTGGACCTAGAAACTGTTAAGCTAGAGCAGCACTTCTGAACCTCACCAGCATTAACATGTAAGATTGGATTTTTCTTTGTTGTGGGCACATGTCCTGTTCAGGATGTTTAGCAGCATCTCTGGCCTTTACCCACTGGATGCCAGTAATATCTCCTCTCCTCCATGTTGTAGCAATCCAAAATGTCTGTAGACATTGCCAAATTTCCCCCTTGGCAGGGAGGGAATCTTCCCAGTTGGAAACCACTGAGCTAGATTAGCATACCCTGTAGGTTGCTCCAAGGTACATGGGTCCTCTTGAGAAGCTCTGAGAAAATAAATAAATCAAGTGTCCCATTGTCAGATAAGCATCAGGAAAGTGGTATGGCACCTCACTGCCCTTTTGCCAGGCCTTTGTCTTCTGTTTGAAAAGTAGGTTTTAACCTTGACAGTGCTTCTCTGCTCAGTCTTAACCTCTTGATTTTGGTGATCTCATCCTTTCCATGGATCGGAATTCCATCCATGTGCCAACTCCCAAATGTATATCATTAATGCAGAGAGAGATCAATGTTCTGGCTGTTTCTTTAATAATTATCATGAGATCTCCACCCCGACGTATTCAAGACTAAACTTTTGCTCTTCCCTCTTTGAGCCTTCCCTTTCACCCTTTCCCTCATCTCAAGACATGAGGACTACTACTTAGGCTTGAACCTGAGTCTCTCATTCTTTCCTCCCCCATATCCAACCGGTGTTGTGCTCATTTACTTTCAAACTGTATTGTGTAACTGGCCACTTTGCCTGATTGTAATTGCCACTGTCTCAGGTCAAGCTATCATCATCTCTCATTTGGAGAACTTCAATAACCTCTTAGCTGATCTCCATGCTTCCACCACTGACCCCTCTCCACACAACAGCCAGAGTGGTCTTCTTAAAACAAATCACGTCTGTTTCTGGCTTGCTGAAACCCGTTAGAGGGTCTGTGATTGCATTTAAGATAACTGAATGTAATCTACAGACTCAGTAAAACTGGGTCCTCTTTCTCTGTGTAGCCTCCTCTTATGCCATTATCCCTTTTGCTGGCTGTGTTCCAGGCACATGGGCTGCTCTCAGTTCTGTTTAAAGGAATAGGAGCTGATGCTTAGCAATAACTCATGCTTCAGCCTGTTGCTTTCATAATAAGTCCTTTCATGAGCCCCCACCAACAGCCATACATTCTCATTGTTATACCTCTCTACATGAATCTTTCTACTTTTCTTTTTAGCACTAGTTATAATTGTAATTTTATACAGGCATCCTTCCTTTTATTGTGCTTCACATTATTGTGCTTCACAGATACTGCAGTTTTTCCAAATTGAAAGCTTGTGCTAACCCTGCATTGTGCAAGACTATTGGCAACATTTTTCTAACAGCTTGTGCTCACTTCATGTCTCTATGTGACATTTTGGTAATTTTTCTAATATTTCAAACTTTTAAATTATTATTATATCTGCTACGATGGTCTGTGATCAGTGATCTTTGACATTACTATTGTAATTGCTTTGGGGCACCACAAACTGCACCCATATAAGATGATGATCTTAACCGATAAACTGTTGTGTGTTCCAGCTGCCCCACCAACCAGCCTGTCTCTCTCCCCCTTTTGGGGCTTCTCTATTCTCTGAGCACAACACTGTTGAAATTAGGCGAATTAATAACCCTACAAGGCTTCTAAGTGTCCGGGTGGAAGGAAGAGTCACATGTCTCTCACTTTAAAATTCAAAAGCTGGAAATGATTAGGCTTAGTGATGAAGACATGTCAAAAGTCAAGATAGGCTGAGAGCTAGACCTCTTATGCCAAACCAAGATGTGAATACAAAGGAAAAGTTCTTGAAGGAAATTCAAAGTGCTATTCTAGTGAACCCATGAATGATAAGAAAGCAAAACAGCCTTATTGCTGACATGAAGAAAGTTTTTGTGGTCTGGATAAAAGATAAAACCAGCGACAACATTCCCTTCAGTCAAAGCTTTATCCAGAGCAAGGCCCTAAGTCTCTTCAATTCTGTGAAGATTTATGGAGGTGAGAAGCTGCAGAAGAAGAATTGGAAGCTGGCAGAAGTTGATTCATGTGGTTTAAGAACAGAAGCCGTCTCTATAACAGAAAAGTGCAAAGTGCAACAGCAAGTATTGATATAGAAGCTGCAGGAAGTTATCCAGAAGATCTAGCTAAGATAATTGATGAAGGTGGCTGCACTAAACAAGAGATTTTCAACACAGACAAAAGAACCGTATATTGGAAGCAGATGCCATTTAGGACTTTCATAGCTAGAGACAGGTCAATAGTTGGCTTCAAAGTTTCAAAGGACAGGCTGACTCTCTCATCAGGGTATAGTGCAGCTGGATTTTAAGTTGAAACCAATGCTTATTTACTATTCTGAAAATCCTAGGGCCCTTAAGAATTATGCTAAATCTACTCTGCCTGTACCCTATAAATGGTGCAACAAAGTCTGGTTAACTACACACCTGTTTACAGCATGGTTTACTAAACATTTTAAGCCCACTGTAGAGACCTATTGCTTAGACAAAAAGATTCATTTCAAAATATTACTGCACATTGACAATGCTCGTAGTCACCCAAGAGCTCTGATGGAAATGTACAAGAGATTAATGCTGTTTTCATGCCTGCTAACACAACATCCATTCTGCAGCCCATGGATCAATGAGTCATGCTTTCAAGTCTTATTATTTAAGAAAGATATTTCATAGATATGTCTTCCAGCTGCCATAAAGTGTGATTTCCTCTGATGGATCTGAGCAAAGTAAATTGAAAACGTTTTGGAAAGGATTCACCACTCTAGATGCCATTAAGAACATTTGTGATTCATGGGAAAAAGTCAAAATATTAACACTAACAGAAGTTTGGAATAGATTCCAATAAGGAGTAGATTCCAATCCTTACAGATGATTTTGAGAGGCTCACGACTTCAGTGGAGGAAGTAAGTGTGATCGAAATCCCAGTAACTGCGATCGAAATAGCAAGAGAGCCAGAATGATAAGAGGAGCCTTGAAGAAGTGACTGAACTGCTGCAATCTCATGATAAAATTTTAACAGATGAGGAGTTGTTTCCTATGGAGGAGCAAAGAAAGTGATTCATTGAGATGAAATCTACTGCTAGTGAAGATGTTGTGAATATTTTTGAAGTGACAATGAAAGATTGGTAATATTACGTAAACTTAGTTGATAAAGCAGTGGTAGGGTTTGAGAAAATTGACTCCAATTATAAAAGAATTTCTCCTATGGGTAAAATGCTATCAAATACATCCCATGCTACAGAGAAATATTTCTTGAAAGGAATGATCAATTGATGCAGCAAACTTTATTGTTTTCTTATTTTAAGAGATTGCCACAGGCTGGGCATGGTGGCTTATGCCTATAATCCCAGCATTTTGGGAAGCCAAGTTGGGCAGACCATTTGAGATCAGGAGTTCGAGACCAGCCTGTCCAACATGGTGAAACACCATCTATACTGAAAATACGAAAAGGAACCTGAGGCAAGAGAATCTCTTGAACCCAGGATGCGGAGATTGCAATGAGCTGAGATCACACCACTGCACTTCAGCCTGAGTGACAGAACGAGAGTCTGTCTCAAGAAAAGAAAAGAAAAAAGAGAGATTGCCACAGCCACCCCACCCTTCAGCAATTCCCAACCTCATCACTCAGCAGCCATCAACATAAAGGCAAAAGCCTCCATCAGCAAAAGGTCTGTGACTCGCTGAAGGTTCAGATGATGCTTAGCATTTTTTAGAAATGAAGTATTTTTAAATTAAGGTGTGCCATTTTTAGATGTAATGCTATTGCACACTTAATAGACTACAGTATAGTGTAAACTTTTATATGCACTGGAAGACCAAAAAACTAGTGCAACTTGCTTTATTCCAGTGTGTGGAACCAAAACCACAGTATTTCTGCAGTATGCCTATATTTATTTCCCTCATGATTTGTTGAACATCTACCTTTTTTTAGTAAATTGCAAGTTCCATGAAGTCCATAATCATGCTTCTTTTGGTTACAACATTGTATCTCCAACATCTAACTGGATCTTCAACACATATTTATGGAATAATTGAATCTGTTTTCTACCACCCCTGCCCCACTCCTCCTGGCAATTAACAATTCACATCAGCATATTAAAAATCCAAATTTTTTTAAAATAAATATGTTCTGAAACTTAGTTGTCCAAGGAACTGTACCCCCATAACGCTGATAAATATCTTATTTTAGGGTACAATGGGCTAAATTATCTGTGAGTTGTCTTCCAGCTGATTGATTACAGCATCTTATTTCAGGGGGAAATACTTTGAAACGATCAAGGCCGTATGAACTTTGGTTCAAATTCAAATGCTTATAAAATTATTAAGACATATGTAGAGCTCAAAGTGTTCTAATAATTATAAAGCCATTATCAGGGTAAACTGCAATTGTAGGAGTGAAGTTAAATCCCCAACTATACACTTTCATTGGACCTCTTTCCTTCCTCGGAAGTGAACTTGTCATTCTTACATTCACATTGTTTGCCTATTGATATTGTGTAGCTATTGGGGCACAGCCATTACAGCCATTGTGCCAAGGGGACCAGGTCCTCAAAGTAGGAGCCAGGGCTCTTAGAGTCAATATCTAGCTTTCTTTTCAATGATAATTAAGTACTCAGAGCTCTGGTCTATCAATGAGCTTGCTGCAGAGTGTTTATGAGAGCAAAATATGATAAGAAATATAAAACATTTTTGACAGTCTATAAAATTTTTATAAAAACAAGTTACTTCAATGAACCAATTTTTTAATATTTAATAAGTCTTTATTAAATATATGTATTTGCTTTATTAAATTTAGAAGGAAAAGGCTGAAACATTTTATCATGTTCAAACATCATGGAAATAAAAAATAAATGGAATGCCCATGAGATGGTAAAAAATGTGACACCCTTATTACTAATTTTAATGGAACACATCTAGGTCTTGATTACTCAGGCACTGGATACCCACACTATTATGCTAACAGCAGAGACAGGTATATTATGATACAAGGTTTTTTTTCCTTTAAACTGGGAACATTACATAGGATATAATACATTGGGTGGACCTGGTCGTTCATGCCTGTAATCCCAGCACTTTGGGAGGCTGAGGTAGGAGGGTTGCTTGAGGCCAGGAGTTTGAGACCAGCCTGGGCAACATAAGAAGACCCTGTCTCTACAAAAAAAAAAAAAAAACAAAAAAAAACACTTAAAAATTTTCCAGGGATGGTGGCATGCACCTCTGTAGTCCTAGCTACTAGGGAAACTGAGATGGGAGAATTGCTTGAGGCTAAGAGTTCAAGGCTACAGTGAGCTATGATTGTGCCACTGCACTCCAGCAGTAGTCACAGAGTGAGACCCTGTTTCTAAAAAAGGAAAAAAACACATTGAGCCACATCATAATGTCTAACGAGTGCCAACTTTGTGCCAGGGCTTGTGGTCACTGTGGTGCAACTATTATCTCATGAAATCATCACAGTGCCCTATAGGATATTTGCAAGTCTTTGAATGACTTTATGCAGCTTCCCCACTGAAGCTGGAAAGGGGGCAATGTCACTTGCCCCTTCTGGAGCCAGCCTGTCTCCCAGATCTCCTAACTACACTAATCTAGGTTTGAGAGCTCTAAAATTTGTTTCTAATTTGTAGCAGTCTTTTGATGTATTAAGATATAGATCCTCATTACTTGCAGAATCTGAATTTGTGAATTTACCTGCATGCTAAAATTTATTTGTAACCCCCAAATCAATACTCACAGTGTTTTCATGGCCATTCATGGATGTGTGCAGAGCTGCAAAAATTTTGGGTTGCCCAGTGCTCATGTCACCACCTAAGACAGAAAAAAAGGTACTCTCTGTCTTCTCGTTTCAGCCCCCATACTATAAGAAAGTGCCCCTTTTTTGGTATGTTTCTGCCAATTTTTCCATTTTTTTCTTTTTGTTGGTGACTTCACTGTTTAAAATGGTCCCCAAATGTAGTGCTGAAGTGCTTTCTAGGTTCCTAAACACAATAAGGGTGTGGTGTGACTTACAGAGAAAATATGTTCTCTCTACAAATTTTGAAAAGCTTTGCTCAGGCATTAGTTATAGTGCTATTGGATGTTTCAGTATTAATGAATCGACATTATATATTAAATAAGATGTCTCTAAACAGAAACACACAAAAAACAAAGTGTATATTAATTGGTTGATAAAACAGTGTGATCAGAGGCTCACAGGAAGCTAACCTTGTGTTTCCTCTAGAAGTAATCATTCAGTATTCACTAATTAGCATTTGTGGCAACTTTATAGAACACAACTCCTGCAAATAACAAGAATTGACTGCCACTAAAGACACCATTGCACTTGACTTTTTTAATTGCCTGCTTGATGTCAGGTAATCTGATTATTCAGCCTTTGATTTCAGATTGAGTGATTAATGAAAGACCTTGAATACAAAATTTTAAACTGGTGGGAACTTTTATGAGGAAGTCATAAAGGCCTGCAGTCAAAGATTTGTAATGGGAGTCCTCATGAACCCCGACTCTCCCAGGCAAATGACATCAATATAATCTCACTGGTACTCAGCAGAATTCAGAGTTATTTTTTTTGACTTGGAATATGATGTCTTCCAGGGTGAAAAGAAAGAAATAGAAGTAGAAATTTGAGTAATTTCAGTTTACCATGCTTTTAAAAATGTTGACAAGGTGTACTGTTATGTATGATTCAAGCTAAGTTTGTCAGAAACAGTGAATTGTTAAATTTAAGTCATGCTTATAAAAATCTATGAGATCCCTAACTATCTTCCTTGTAAGTTCTCACATAAAAGGTTAATTTATTCCAATCTATTAACTTATTAAGTACAAAAAGGGCATATTGAAATACTACTGTAAAATAACTTTTTAAATAATAAGTAAAACTGTGAAAAAAGGGAGTTTTGACCTTTCATTTTTTGCTTCATTCTTTTATGGTAAGTGTAAAAATTACTTCAAGGAAATCCTATTTCTTTCATTTGTAATCATAATTTTTTAACAGAAAGTGCTGTTATTTAAAAACTTTTGATGAGTTTTTTCCTCCAAGAGTCAACTTATAGTAGAAGTACTTCTGTTTCCAATAATAATGAATGAGCTATAATTTATTTAAATTTTGATGAGTTTTTTTTTTTTTTTTTTTTTTTACAAAAGCAATGATTCTTAGGCAACTTGTCAAAAGACGTCATTTCAGTTTTGAGGCAAGTACTGGGTTATTATATTAAATTGTGAGAATAGGTTAATTTAGCTATCACAATGAGTATTTGTATTAATACGTTCTTACAATGCTAATAAAGACATAGCTGAGACTGGGTAATTTATAAAGGAAAGAGGTTTAATTGACTCACAGTTCAGCGTGGCTTGGGATGCTTCAGGAAACATACAGTCATGGTGGAAGTGGAAGCAAACACATCCTTCCTCACATGGAGAAGGACAGCAAGGAGAAATGCTGAGCAAAAGGGGGGAAAGGACCTTATAAAACCATCAGACCTTGTTGTGAGAATTCACTATCACAAGACCAGCATGCGGGTAAACACCCCCATGATTAAATTAGCTCCCACTGGGTCCCTTCTGGGACACATGGGGATTATGGGAACTACAATTCAAGATGAGATTTAGGTGGGGATGCAGCCAAATCACGTCAGTATTATTCCTAAAAATGTGGTGGCTCACACCTGCAATCCCAGCACTTTGGGAGACTGAGGCTGGCAGATCACCTGAAGTAAGGTGTTCAAGACCAGCCTGGTCAACATGGCAAAACCCGTCTCTACTAAAAATACAAAAATTAGTGTGGTGGCACATGCCTGTAATCCCAGATACTTGGGAGGCTGAGGCAAGAGAATCGCTTGAACCCAGAAGGCAGAGGTTGTCGTGAGCCGAGATCATGCCAGTGCACTCCAGCATGGGTGATAGAGCAAGACTCTGTCTCAAAAAAAAATCCTTTACAGTCTGGAAGTTCACACCATAAGTCCCAAATGCTATTGTAGATATTATAAATTTAGGCAACATTTTATTATTGCGTTAGTCATGTAATTTTATTATAAGCACCTCCTCTGTATCAGGTGCTGAGATGGTTGTTTTACATGTATTTTATCTAATTCTGTCAGTAACTGCACACAATAAGTATTACATTCTTTATACAGATGGAGGCACTGAGGTACAGAAGGTCTAAATATTTTGCTCAAGATGTATAGAAAATTAATATAGGTTATTAAAGAAAAATAATCAAATTTAGGTATAGGAAAACATACAAATTCCTTGCTTTTTTATACTTTCTAAATTATTTGTAAATAATATAACCTAATGTTTAATTTTTAAGAAATGTGTAACTTGTAATGACAAACATGACTGACATAGAACAGAGTATTGCTAGTTGATTTATCATTGACTGAGAGCTTAAGAAAGCTACGTCAAGGGTCATTAGTCATTCTTATTTAGCAAGTAACTCATCACAGATGTCTTATTATTCTGTTATTTTCCACCTACATATTTTCTGCCACGAGGTACTGAGGCAATTCAGGAAAACATTTGTGTTAGGACTTTGTGGCTTTTGAACCCGGTGGCTGCTTTTAGGTGGGATTCATACACCTTTAACAGGTTGAAAATTAAATTGCTTTATAGATGGCATCTTCAAAGGAATGGTGGTAAATTGTGAGTGATTGGTATCAAGCAGTTTGTCTTTTACAGCATCAAATAGTGTTTCCTCATAAACCATAGCCTCTCTCGTTCTTGTCACTCAGGAATTCTTATGGTACAAAGTAGCATCTCTTCTCCTCTCCGTACCTTCCACTCAGTAGGAAAGCTTAATCTTGTTTTTATTGAGATATATCTTATGCGCCATAAACTCACCCTTTGAAAATGTACAATTCAGCGGTGTTCAGTGTATTCATAAGCTTGGGCTGCCATCACTGCTATTTAGTTCCAGAACATTGTCATCATTCCAAAAGTATACCCTGTATCTGTTAGCTATCCCTCCCCATTCACCCCTCTTTCCATCCACTGGAAAACACCAGTCTACTTTCTGTCTCTCTAGATTTGCCTATTCTGGATATTTCATATAAATAGAATCATATAATATATGTCCTTTTGTGTCTGGCTTCTCTCACTTAGCACAGTGTTTCCATAGTTTATCCATATTATAGTAGGTATTAGTGCTTCATTTCTTTTTATGCCTGGGTAATATTCCATCATAGGGGGATATATATATATATATATATATACACACACACATACACACATACATATGCATACATACATACACACACACACACACCACACATTTGTTTATTCATTTATCAGTCCATAGACATTTAGCTTGTTTCCACTTTTGGCTATTCTGAACAGTGCTACTATGAACGTTTCTCTATAAGGTTTTTTGTGCAGGCATAGGTTTTTATTTATATTGTGTAAATAGGTGTTTCCTCTCATTTTTTCATTGCTTCCCTCGAACTCCCATCACTACCCCTAAGTTCAGAAAAGCCCAGAACATTAGGAACTTTGTATATCCCAAGAGAGCTTGGTAAAACTTCTGCCACATCTTCCTAAACCTGAACTCCATTTTCCTGTCTTTTCCCAGAGCCGCCAATTGGACAAATGCACCCCCCGCATGGCAGTGTCACTCCTCAGAAGAACAGCAACCTGCTTGTGATCATTGTGGTCACCGTTGGTGTCATCACAGTGCTGGTAGTGGTCATCGTGGCTGTGATTTGCACCCGACGCTCTTCAGCCCAGCAGAGAAAGTAGGTAACAGCTGGTTCCCAAGAGGAAAGAAGTCATTGTCTTTTGGGGTTATATTTTTGATGGTCCTCTTTCTGCGTTCTTTCATAATTCACCCCATGTCCTTACTTCCTAACCCTGGCAAAACCTTGCGTTTTGTCTATTCCAGGCCTATCATTAAGTGAGTGAGGGCTAGACTCGCAGATAAGATAACTAACAAAATCCATCTGGGACCCACTTATATTTCTGTTTGCTTTTACTTCTCTGACCCCTTCTCATTTTCAAGTGAGCGCAGGTGTTCCTTAGGTAACACCTAGAGAATAGACTCCACCATGCCCCTGTTTCTGGCCTTCCCTGAAATCATGTACACGAGATTTGAGGAATGTGTTTCTCTGTGTGCACTTATTTACCACTTTTTACAAGGAGCCCTGTAGGCAGTTAATCAATACTTATTGGAGAGATGACTAAATATAGAATGCCAGACTCTGTACAGTTACAATCCTGTTGGTGCTTAGTTTGGAGGCAGTAGTTAAGAAAGAAGAGAGAGTTCTGAGATTCAAAATGGTTTATTTTCTGTGGTTAATTGTCAGAAATTAAAAGTGTTGAGGGCTTTAAGAATATTTTCATATTATGCAGCTTTAGGTTCTAGCAGATGCAGAGAATGATACATCAAAGTACAAAGTTTAAAATGGAAAAGTGATTTTTATTCAGCCTATATCCTTGCAGCAACACCCTGTAACTGGCCAGTTAGTCTGTGTCAGCCAGTGCTGGGAGTCAGCAATAATCTCACAGCCATTCTCTGCCTCTTTGACTTTCTAGTCCTTTTAAAATTCAGCCTGATGTGTCTTTTTCAGCTACACTCTCTCACTGAGTTGACTATCTTAGGCTCTTCCATGAGTTTTTGGTTCTGGTTTTAGGTTTTTCCATTGGCCTCAGGCATGACATTACCTCTGAAAGCCTGAGGTATGGGTTCATAGGTGGCTGGTTTGACAACTGTGTACTTTACACTTTGCTAGAAAAGATTCTCCAGCAAATAATGTTCCCCCTTCTGTTGCTAATAGCTCGCTCTTGCTCTCTCTCTCTCTCTCTCTCTCCATCTCTCTCTCTCTCTGTCTGTCTTTCTTTAAGTCCTGTAACTCTATTTGTAGATCTCTAGTTTACCTTCCAGCACTCTGAAGTGACATGTTTAGAAAGAGAACAGGGGAAGATATACATACTGAAGAAAAGTAACATGGGGTGTAGATGCAGGCTTTGTATTTAATTTATTTCTATGGCAGGACAAATTTTCTAACCAGCTGATTTATGAGATTTGACTAGTTTGAAGCTGGTGATAGCTGGTGTGCTGCTCCATTGTGCCTAAGCAAGAAACCTGCTAGAGTGAGCTTAGCTGGGCCAGCCTCATGTGTGAGCATTCTGGGAAGTCATAATCACTCACAGAGCTTCCACAGTGCAGGGCTGTTAATAAGGCTCTGGAGGGGAAAGTAACTAATTGAGTAAGGCATTGAACAATCTCTTGGTGCTGTGTTATCAGGAAAGGGGTTGTGAAATCACGGAACAGTGGAACATCAAGGCAGCAGGTCTCTGAAGCAGAGTTAAGAGGGACTCATGTAAAAGAAGGTGGGGAGGCGGTACCAAAATGACACCTGGCCTACCATATAACTGCTTTCAAGACACTGAAGCATTCACTAAACTAGCCAAATGTAACTAAGCTATCTGTAGTGGGTTTGTTTTTGATTTGGGTTCCCCCCCGCCCCGTGTCATTTCTGTGAGAAGAATGTTCGAGCATTAGATTGACCTGATGAACTGGATTCCTGGATATATTTTGTTTCTCCACAGAGAGAACACCAGTCTTCTCAATGTGCAAAAGTGGGATTTGGTGCCATGTTGAGAAAATCTCCAGTCATCTTAAATCCTACCCTAAGCACTTTGGCAAAAGCTTCAGGGCTTTATTTGGAAAAGGGAGACTCTGAGCCCTGAGTATGACTTGTTTTTAAAAATAGGGACCTAATTAAAGAATAAGTGGTTCTATTAATGACTGAAAATCCAAGAACAGTTAGTTGTAGAGTCACTTTGGTTTTTCCTCACTGCACTCTCAAAGTCTTTTAATAGTTACTTGTGTTCACACTTTGTTTCATATCTTTCTTCAGTAGCAGACCCGTTGGCATTCATTTTTCATCCCTTTGTGTGCATATTTTCATAGAGAAAAAGAAAATGTTTCCTTCAAGTTATTTCTGAACTATAGTTTAGTGGGGTTTGTTTGTTTGTTTGTTTGTTTGTTTGTTTGTTTGTTTTTTGAGATGGAGTCTCACTCTATTGCCCAGGCTGGAGTGCAGTGGTGCAATCTCAGCTCACTGCAACCTCTGCCTCCCATTTTCATGCCATTCTCCTGCCTCAGCCTCCCGAGTAGCTGGGACTACAGGTGCCCGCCACCACGCCCAGCTAATTTCTTGAATTTTTAGTAGAGACAGGGTTTCACCGTGTTAGCCACGATGGTCTTGATCTCCTGACTTCATGATCTGCCCGCCTCAGCCTCCCAAAGTGCTGGAATTACAGGTGTGAGCCACCGCGCCCGGCCCCTTATAGTTTAGTTTTTTGTTATTTGTTCCATTGAGGACCGCTACTCCTCTGCATCACAATTGAGCCCTTCAGAACAAACTGGATAATGCAGGTGAAAGCAAAATCAATTCCAATCTGAAACAGAAATAAGATCCCCTCCAAAGCTCTTAGAAAATTGGACTTTAATGTAATTAATAAGTTGAAGTAGAAAACGCATTCACGAGCTTCTTCAATATCTCTTTTGGGGTTCTAGAGAATATAAATTTTTCTTTATGTTTTTTTTGGGGGACTTGAATTACATCCAAGTGAATTGAAAAAGTTCTATGGACTCTCAGTAATATCTTATTCAGGTTAAGTGTCTATGCATTTAATAAACCTAACCTTTTTATAAAATCATACATATATTCAACAATTAGGCTATCCAGTTGATTCAGACTAGTGGGTAAGATTTCATTTTTATTATATAAAATAGCTAATGAAAGTCAGTACCCAAGTTCTAGTTCTGGGTTCTACTGCTTCTATAGTAAACTAATCATATCACCTAAATGAAGACCCTTAATACTTGGGTGGCAGTTTCTTTAAATATAATGATAATTTGGGCTAAATGCTTTCTATCATTCTCTTTAGCTTTTTTTGTTGGTTTTTTTGTCCAGAGCCAGGTAACAATCTTCTACTTTTAAAACATAAAAATTCCCAATGGAATACTTCTAATTTATAGAATCACATGGTAGCATTAAGCTTTAAATTACTGCAGTTCTTTTCAGTTATTTATTAAACTTTTTTACTACTGTACTTTGAAGAGACCCCTTCCACAGTTTCTATTAGTGAGATTATCGTATGACATCTAATACAGAAAAAATTATATTTTATGAAAACTTAAGGCTGGACACACCTGTAACCCCAGCCTTTTGGGAGGCCAAGACATGAGGATGGCTTGAGACCAGGAGTTTGAGACCAGCCTGGGCCACATAGTGAGACCTTATCTCTAAAAAATTTTAAATCAGCCAGATATGGTGGTGCTTACCTGCAGTCCCAGATACTCAGGAGGCTGAGGTTGGGGGATCACTTAAGCCTGGGATGTGGAAGCTGCAGTGAGCCATGATTGCATCACTGTACTCCGGCCTGGGTGACAGAGTGAGGCCTGTCTCAAAAGAGAAAAAAAGAAACAAAACTTAAGTTGATTTTTGTCCCTGTTTCTCTGTTTTTTAATAAGGCAATAACATTTTCTCGCCCAACATATGGAACACATGTTATTAGTTAGACTTTATCCACAGATACTAAGGACAAAAATATATGAAATTGAGCAAATCCAGGAGATCTAGAACGCATGGTTATTACATTTCTAAGGCAGTTACCTGGGTAGGTGATCTACAGTCTTGTCTGAATGCTTTAAATTTAAACATGTAAATAAAACCTAAGGTGTACTTGTTAGAACCACTGGCTGGCTGGGCCTTCTATTTGACTTGACATGTGGACAGCAAGTTTTAAAGATTAGTATGCATTCAAATCTTGACAAAAATAATTATTTTTAGTACTGACGATGAAATGTCTAGGCTCTTAAATGAAATCTACAGTATTTTAACTATTATAGGTCACTTTTACTGATTTTTCACTTGTTAACGTTTTAATTGGTTTTCAATATTCACCTCATAAGAGATTTGAACTATCAGCTACCTTAAGACTTCATTATATCTTAATTCCATCTCAGAATTTTTTCTGAGATATATTTGAGTATCTGGAATTTGACCTGGGTTTCTAATACAAATTTTTGGTTTTGTTTTTATTTTTATTCCACTAACTGCTATTAATCAAAATGGACAATTAGGGGCTAGAAGCCTTTGGAAAAGATTTGGAAAGAAAGCAGAGAAATGTTTCTACTTATCAATATATCTTTTTCTGATTAACTTGTAATTATTTATTCACACTCACTTCAAGCTTCCTTCCTTCCTGAAGACTTCCCCCAAACCCCTGGTGGGTCAGAATGTTCCTGCCTCAATCCCTATCAGATGTTGGGCATGTCTTTTAACCACGGGAATTAGTACAGCACTCTTTATTTGTCTGCCTAATAAAGTTGGGAACAACTTTAGCAGACGATGCCTGAGTCCGTAGTGGAAATTTAATAATTTATTATGATGTGCCAAAATAACCTATATGGTAACAGCTGCATTTTAGAACTTCAATGGACACAGTCTTGCATAAAATGGACACTCAACCAATGTTGGTTTTTACTCATTCACATCCCCAGCATACTAATTAAAAGTGAAAAGGAAAAAAAACTCCCCTTACAGTAATAGGTTATGCATAAAGTAAGGAATGGGTAAACCAGTACAGAACCAGAGAAGAAGCTTTCAGATAAATACTTGCATGTCAATAATGGAAAGTAATTCTTATTATTTAATTCAAGTAATTATTGTGTGCTTTATATGGGATCTGCATCATACAAAGTAACAAATCTGATTAATATTAACTCTCAAGCTAAAAATCTTTTTGCAATTTCCCACTGACTTCTTGATATTATTAAAAATGTATCTATTTGGGCCAAGGCCTCCTATGTTTTTGTCCCTTCTACTTTTTCATGCACACAAACTGTCATGCCGCAGTGCATGCTCCTCATTCCAACAATGCAGAAATTCCCAGGAGCCATGCCATGTTACAATCATTTTTTAAGCTTTCAATGCCTCCCTGATCTTTACATTTGTAGTACTTAGCACATTTCTTGACACATAGTCAATCATCCATAAATATTGATTGAATAAATAAATAAGTGTTGTAAAACAATGGATGATGTTGAAGAAGTAAAGGAAACAGAGTTTGCTCCACTTTCACTGAAGGAACTGAATTATCACAAAGGGAGCAGCTGGACAGCTCAATAAGACACACGGTGATCAATGCCAAGGTGAGTGGTACAGAGAGAGATGAGGGAAATGATTTAGATTCTCTAAGATTACAGTGACCTGAGATGGTCAGGAAGGTTCCCTGAAGGAGAGAGTCTTGAAAGGAGACTTAAAGAATAAGTCATTTGCAAGTTAGGATTTTGAAGGCACTGTGGGCAGAAATTAAATAAGTAAACAAACAAAACAAAAAATAGAGCACCAGCACCTGACCATGCTGTCAAAGTTTTGCCATGATCTGAGAAGGAGAAAACAGAGAGCCTGGGAGGGTTCTTTGTTTGCCTTTATCAAGAATACCTGGGGTAGAAGGAGACCCTCCTATTCTAGGGCTATTTTAGAAGCAGAAGGATGACTGGTGCCTGAGGGAAAAGATACATTTGGTATTTGCAGAGGGGCCAAACATGAAATACTCTATGTCAAATAGAAAAACTAGCTTTAAAATACAAACAAAACCAAATAATTCACTATGATAGTGCTTCTTAAATTTTAGACAGATTCACCTGGAGAGTGTTAAAAGACAGACTGCCCCCTGCAACCAAGTTTCTGATTCAGTGGTTCTGCAGTGGGGCCTGAGAATGTGCATTTCTAACAAGTTCCCAGGCAGTGGCAGTGCTGATGCCTCTGGTTTAGAGACCCCACTTTGGCAACCACTGTACTAGGAGCACCTGAATACACATTTCGAAGAATCTAATGGTGAGACACAGGAACCGTGGGCTGCAATGAGCAGCAGTCGTGTCAAGAACCAACAGATGGGCAGAAGGTCAGGGTGACACCTGTTCCTATAGGTTTTAAGACAAATTTCAGACAATTTAATTATGAGCACATGTTAGTTTTATTACAAACCTGCTGTGGTAGAGGTTGGAGGGACAAAAGAAGGAGAGGCTCTCCAAGGCCAAAGATTTCTCCTTTAATAAGAGATACGATAGGAAATAAAAGTGGTTAGATGGTCATGGCTAGAATAAATACAAAAAGGAAATAAAGTCTATTTAGAGATCTTTAGCTTCTTGACTGACAGTCAGCTGGGTGGGTGAGCAACTTCTTAGAACTTGTCTTGATCTGATTAAAATCCAGCAGAAAAATGCCTGTTCATTTTATGAGGAACTACAATTTCTTCCCCAGTGGAGATTATGAATCACAACATACAAAAAGGTTCTGCCAGGTTTGGAACTCTTTTAAAAACAGAAGCCATCTGGGGCTCGTTGGTACTGAAGTCATGGAAACTAGCAAATAAATGAATAAGTGAAAAGGCATGCTTGTAAGCAAGGGGAAACCAGAATTTGTAATTTATTGCTGGTTTCAATTTTATCTTGACTACTTTCTTTATTCCAGGTTATTTAAATATTGAGTTAAATAAGGAGTTTGGCTATGTTTTCCTGAATTTGGGAACTGGTACTTCTCTGTGTGCAGCCACACAGATGCTGGTGTTAAGTTATTTAGCATTTTGATCTTCTAGAAAGAGAGATAACAGGGTGAAACATCCAAGTTTGAGAATGACATTACATTTTCTATGAAGTTACCAGGAGTAGATTACACAGGGAGCTGTGTGTGAGTTGCAGATCAGTTTGCCGTGGGCAAGTGAAGTATATAGAAATGAATTCAGGAAATAAATGGTTATCAGTGAGTTATTATCTTAGACACATAGACACTTAGAAAATAGGGGTTGTTTCAGACCATTGTTTTAAAACATTGTGGGGCTGCCACCAGGAAATCAGCAAAGTGCAGGTAGTGTTATTTTTTCTCTGCTAAAATACAAAATAGATACTAGGTCTGGGATTCTTTATCTCCTATCCTCATCAGCACGCTTCAAGAAAGACAAAAAAAAGGATGTCAGGGAAAATTCAACAAATTACACCACCAAATATTTATTAATTACCTAGTATTTACAAAGCTACTTATTCATCATCGGAAAACCAAAGCCACTCCAATGACTTTGCACAGGTTACAGGTGTTTTCACTGAGAGTAGCTTGTATGAACTATTGAGCAGCCATGGAAGGTAGTTATTATAATAAACTGTTCACTGCAAATTAAGGAAGTGGGAAGTAGATGCTTCTCTAGTCTGCTGTCAAAACTAGATTTTAACAGTTTGCATTATTTCTTACAAGAGACATTATTTTTAAAGAAATAGAAGTTACAAGTAGAGATTTAAAAGTTATAAAACTAGGGAAAGGGTCAAAAATGATTTCTGAAAAGGACCAAATAATACATGGTTTAGGATTTTTGAGCCATATAGTATCTGTCACAACTATTCAATTCTGCCATTGCAGTGCAAAAATAAATGAGCTTGGCCATGTTCCAATAAAACTTTATTTACAAAACTAGGCTGTGGGCAGATTTGGCTTGCAAACTGTAGTTTACTGACCCCCTGCTGTAGAGAATGACTAACATGAACATTGTGTTACTTCACTTATCACACAGGGAACATTTAATCTCACTAGCCTCAAGAAGAGATTATCACCCCAAAAATAAATTTATAGTTGTTAAAGCCTTATTGAGGCAAATAAGAAACATGTGAAATACATTTTCAAACTGTGTTCTTCTCCTTTCAAAGGATCTGTCTCACTGTGTTTGAATCTGGACACTCAGTGATGCCAAGGCAAAAGTGTTTTATTCTCCTAAGAATATCCTCATGTGGCCTTTTGTCTTCAAATAACAAGTTTCCCAGTTGCACATTAAATTATACAGCTGAGGTATAGACTTTCTTCTAAGACCTCATCTTAGCTATTGGCATAAATTCTGGCCTTTTTTATTTCTATTTGCCCTTTCAAAGCAACTCCTTCATTTATCTCCTAAACAGATGTTGCCATCAGGTACCTTATGCCTGGCTCCAAAGATTGGCATATGGTTCCATCTAACCCATTTTCACCTTGCACATGAATCTGCAGCCGCTGAAGCTGGAGAAAGGAGCTCTCTGCCAGGAAGCCGAGGCCCTGGGGATTCAGCACTGCATCCTTTATAATGTGGTGAAGCTCCAGGGGGGAAGAGGAAAGGCAGCCAAGACAAGTCTGCCAATTCCTGGGTTTCACAGGGCTCATTCTGCGAGTCCTTTTGTTTCCTTTCCTGCTTCTAACTTGAATTGACTGATGAAAGAAAGGAAGTGCCATTGAATAGAGGTTCTCACATTTGCCTTCTAACTTTGTTCCATAGGAAACGGGCCACCCACAGTGCTGGCAAAAGGAAGGGCAGCCAGAAGGACCTCCGACCCCCTGATCTTTGGATCCATCATGAAGAAATGGAGATGAAAAATATTGAAAAGCCATCTGGCACTGACCCTGCAGGAAGGGACTCTCCCATCCAAAGTTGCCAAGACCTCACACCAGTCAGCCACAGCCAGTCAGAAACCCAACTGGGAAGCAAAAGCACCTCTCATTCAGGTAATTATCTTTTCACTGGCATTAGGGAAAACATACCATTCTGAACCCAAGGGAGTTTTTCACTCCTTTTATGGAAATGTCTTCCCTACTAATTTGCATGTCATTATGGGTCATTTATCAATAGTTAAATGGATCTAATATAAATTTGGTTGATTAACCAATTATATGTCTTTCTTCATCCTGTGACTTGATATAATTTTAATAATTCTTTTATAATTTTGATAATTCTTGAATTTTCTATGAGGTTGGAAGTAGGACAGTTGGGAAATACAGAAACTTAAATCCTAAATGGATTGACTGCTTTTTGTTAATTGTTAAACAAATGTTTTGTCAAGGCAATAAAATTTGAAGCCATCTGTACATTTTCCAGTTCCTTATTTCGATAGATAATTGAAAGTTAATTCTAAATTTACTGTCAATTCCCTGTTTTAAAAATCACATCAGGGCACTTGAAGTACAAAAAAACTGAATATTCTGTTACTTTGGCCTTGATTACTATGGAAATCAACTGTCATCCACATACAGTCACCTTATGTGATCCCCAGACTAGTTTGATGGGATTCTGTCTGAAAACTATGTTGTTATACAAAGGGATCTGAAAAAAAAAAAAAAAAAAAGCCTACTGTTCAATGAATTGGTGCAGAACAATCACTGGTGTCCAGGGATAAGTAAGAACACTAGAAAATAATTGTAAGATAGTTCACTTTCTCTGGGTCTTCATATTATCTAAGTGCTTATGGGAATCATCAACCAAATACTATCATCAAAAAATCCCTTGGTCTACTCATAATGTGATTATAGAATGAGGAGCTCCTGTTTTTTTTTTTTTTTTTTTTTTTTTTTTTAAGTTTTAGGGTACATGTGCACAATGTGCAGGTTAGATATATACGTATACATGTGCCATGCTGGTGCGCTGCACCCACTAACTCATCATCTAGCATGAGGTATATCTCCCAGTGCTATCCCTCCCCCCTCCCCCCACCCCACAACAGTCCCCAGAGTGTGATGTTCCCCTTCCTGTGTCCATGTGTTCTCATTGTTCAATTCCCACCTATAAGTGAGAATATGTGGTGTTTGGTTTTTTGTTCTTGTCATAGTTTACTGAGAATGATGATTTCCAGTTTCATCCATGTCCCTACAAAGGACATGAACTCATCATTTTTATGGCTGCATAGTATTCCATGGTGTATATGTGCCACATTTTCTTAATCCAGTCTATCATTGTTGGACATTTGGGTTGGTTCCAAGTCTTTGCTATTGTGAATAATGCCTCAATAAACATACGTGTGCATGTGTCTTTATAGCAGCACGATTTATAGTCCTTTGGGTATATCCCCAGTAATGGGATGCCTGGGTCAAATGGTATTTCTAGTTCTAGATCCCTGAGGAATCGCCACACTGACTTCCACAATGGTTGAACTAGTTTACAGTCCCACCAACAGTGTAAAAGTGTTCCTATTTCTCCACATCCTCTCCAGGACCTGTTGTTTCCTGACTTTTTAATGATTGCCATTCTAACTGGTGTGAGATGATATCTCATTGTGGTTTTGATTTGCATTTCTCTGATGGCCAGTGATGGTGAACATTTTTTCATGTGTTTTTTGGCTGCATAAATGTCTTCTTTTGAGAAGTGTCTGTTCATGTCCTTCGCCCACTTTTTGATGGGGTTGTTTGTTATTTTCTTGTAAATTTGTTTGCGTTCATTGTAGATTCTGGATATTAGCCCTTTGTCAGATGAGTAGGTTGCAAAAATTTTCTCCCATTTTGTAGGTTGCCTGTTCACTCTGATGGTAGTTTCTTTTGCTGTGCAGAAGCTCTTTAGTTTAATTAGATCCCATTTGTCAATTTTGTCTTTTGTTGCCATTGCTTTTGGTGTTTTAGACCTGAAGTCCTTGCCCATGCCTATGTCCTGAATGGTAATGCCTAGGTTTTCTTCTAGGGTTTTTATGGTTTTAGGTCTAACGTTTAAGTCCTTAATCCACCTTGAATTGATTTTTGTATAAGGTGTAAGGAAGGGATCCAGTTTCAGCTTTCTACATATGGCTAGCCAGTTTTCCCAGCACCATTTATTAAATAGGGAATCCTTTCCCCATTGCTTGTTTTTCTCAGGTTTGTCAAAGATCACATAGTTGTAGATATGTGGCTTTATTTCCTGTTTTTAAAGTGAATTATTTGAATGTGTTGCTGTTTTACTGTACTCTGTCATCTCAGAATTGCATAAACAAGAAATACAAGTATTGACTGTCAACCATGGATTGTTGAATATTTCTTTTCAAGCTCTCAAATGATGTCTTAGGCAGATTTCCTAACTTCCTTGTCACTCCAGTTATTGAAGGACAGTCTAGTTCCATTAAAAACTATCATCTGAAATTTAATTAAAGATTCTCCTTTCTCATGCTCAGCTAGATATTTGGCTCTAGGGACTGGGGGTCAGAATTTGTTTTCTCAATCCTCCAGTACATTGGAGTGAAATGGAACGGTGGGATTGAGAAGAAGCTGGAACAAAGTCTGTTTCAGAAACACTGTTACATCTTTTCCCCTTCTCTCCACTTTTCCTGAGCATGTGAGAGAAGAGGGATGGAGTGAAGAGGGAGGGGAGGTGAGGATAAAGAGAAGAAAGTACCATTTGAAGTTCTTCATAGCTTTTGTGGACACGTGGGCTAACCTCTATGTGGTATCCAAATTCTGGGTCTCTTATGAAACAGAAGTATGACTTATTTATGGCAGGGGTACTCAACCCCTGGACCATGGATCAGTACTGGTTCATGGCCTGTTAGGAACTGGGCCACACAGCAGGAGGTGAGCAACGGGCAAAAGAGCAAAGCTTCATATGTATTTACAGCCATTCCCTATCACTCCCATTACTGCCTGAGCTCTGCCTCCTGTCAGACCAGCAGCAGCACTGGATTCTTATAGGAGCATGAACCCTATTGTGAAGTGCACAT
This sequence comes from Homo sapiens, assembly GCF_000001405.40. Lineage (NCBI taxonomy): Eukaryota > Metazoa > Chordata > Mammalia > Primates > Hominidae > Homo > Homo sapiens. The sequence continues at coordinate 53,462,404 of NC_000018.10, forward strand.
GTGAGGGATCTAGGCTGCACGCTCCTTATAAGAATCTAATGTCTGATGATCTGTCACTGTCTCCCATAACCCCCAGATGGGACCATCTAGTTGCAGGAAAACAAGCTCAGGGCTCCCACTGCTTCTACATTATGGTGAGTTGTATAATTATTCCATTATATATTACAATGTAATAATAATAGAAATAAAGTGCACAATAAAGGTAATATACTTGAATCATCCTGAAACCGTACCCTGCCCCCTGCCCCCAGGTCCATGAAAAAATTTTCTTCCATGAAACTGGTCCGTGGTGCCAAAAAGGTTGGGAATGGCTGCTTTGTGGGGCCTTGTAGACCAGGCCCAGTTCCATGATGGGAGACATGAAGTCCAGGCTTACCACCTAACACAGCTCTTCCTCTTCCGTCATGAGGCCTCTGGGAAATTCCAGCAAGGGGACTGAAGCCCAGCCAACTTTTCACATGCCCACTTGGCCCACAAGAATCTCCTATATCCTTGCCAGACCCAATGGTGAGAGAGCTTGCACTCTACCACTGGCCCTCTCTCAACCTTGCTCTCTTCAATTACTTTTTCCTCTGCTTAGATAGACTCGGGGTAGAACAGCAAGCCCACTGCCTAAACAGGCTTTCGCCTGGGGAGTGACAGAAAACAAATCCCTTTTGCAGGAACCTCCATATTTTACAAGTGATTCTTCTTCTAGCTTTGTTCTTGACTGGATATCAGGGAGGGGAGAGCACCTCCACCTCCCACTGAAAGGGATAGAATTGCCTCACTGCCCTAAGGAGGTTTTGCCAATGACTTCTAAGACACATCCTTCTAACCTTTTCCTTTCGTCTTTTATATACTGAGATGACATTAAGTTGATATCTCTTAATAAGTCCTGGGGGAAGGTTTAATCCCAAATGATGACTGTTTTCTTTAAAATAAAAGAGTACTTATGCCTACTTGTCCTCAATTTGAGGACCTCGTTGCCAATTTTGTAACAAAAGGAAAGTAATCCTCAAAGTCCTGCAAGCTATACTTTATGTTAAATTAAGTATTCTTCTCTCCTGCTTAAAAAAACAAAATTCAACATAAGTGAACAGCATTACCAAGAAACATTATATTTAACAATGGGGTTCCTGAGTAGGCAATAACTATGTAAGGAGAGATTACTGTATGTTAAATTCTATGATTTGGACTTTTATACATTATTTTGCCTAATCTTCACAAAATACTTTGAGGTAGATGCTATCATTCTTTTCATATAGTAAATGAAGTAACCAAATTAAGAAGGGTTAAATAATGTGCCCAGATTTCAGAGCTAGTATCACAGCCAGGACCAAAAAAATCTGACCCCAAATTAATGTTTTGTTGATCCAGTTTCAATTAACTCATGTAATACTTTTATATAAGTACTTTTCTTGTTTTGCGCCCATGAAATTAGCTTTTTGGATAAAACCAGAAATTAGTTTACAGTATTCATACTTTAGCTATGGAAAAGAGAATTGAATCAAGCAATTGCTGCATAAACAACAACAACTAATTTTATTGAGAGTTAATTTTTTATTTTACTCATTCTTCCCTACTGCTGGTATGCAAACTGCTTAAACAAAACCTACTTCATTCTCTAACCACAAAAATAGAGGATGCCACTAAAATATCTAGGAATTAAGATGATAAGTTATTGCTTCATGATACATCTCTTCTACATCTAGTGGATTTCAAAATTATTTTCTTTACTTAAAAGTTTACAATAAAGAAACGAAAGAGTTCAGGTCTATTTGATCTCTAGGACTTACAAATAGAATTTAGTTTCTTGAAATGGATTTATCCTAGTCTAATTTCACTACAGAAGCACCACAGGATTATGTTACTTAGCTTCACTTCGGAAGAATGAACAAGTAAATTTCAGCATGTGGCATTTGGTAGTATTCAATTTCTAAAAATGTTCAATTCAGTGAATAACATCTATAAAAGAGCTACATAACACCAAATGGGCAATGTGATTTAACACTTAACTTTTTATTAGTTATTTTGAATTATATACATGTCTATTAAATCCTGTATTTAAATTTCCCAACCTCATTTGGACCAATGGTAAATAATGTCAGGTGGCAAGTTTATGAGACAAGCCACAAAGTGTTACTACCAAAAAATTTTATGCTTCAAAAAAAGTAAAAGGAAAAAATCTTGTTTAACTTTTCAATGAATTCATGTAATATCAAGCACAGTCTATTTTTAGAATAAAAAAAAAAACTGAAAACCCACACACAGACACCCAACAATATCAAAGGACTTATTTGAAAACTATGTTACCACCGGGAGCTGTGGCTCACACCTGTAATCCCAGCACTTTGGGAGGCCGAGGTGTGCGGATCACCTGAGGTTGGCAGCTTGAGATGAGCCTGACCAACATGGAGAAACCCCTCTCTAGTAAAAGTACAAAATTAGCCAGACGTGGTGGTACATGCCTGTAATCCCAGCTACTTGGGAGGCTGAAGCAGGAGAATTGCTTGAACCTTGGAGGCAGAGGTTGCGGTGAGCTGAGATCACGCCACTGCACTCCAGCCTGGGCGACAAGAGCAAAACTCAATCTCAAAAAAAAAAAAAAAAAAAAAAGAGAAGAAAAAAAGAAAAAGAAAACTGGTTGGATCTAGAGTTACTTTTTTGGAGTGGCAAGAAGAAGCACATTAGATAGTGTTTTAATGTTTGCTTCTACTGTCAAACATAATTTTGAAAACTAAAGAGGAGGAAAGTCTGTTGTATTTAATTGATATTTTCACTCTTTCTGTTGTTCATTTTTCCTGTTTGATTGTCTGAGATTCCTCTTACTACTTCCTGTTTAGAGAAATTCCATTAGCTTTTTTTTTTTTGATGGTTTATCTGCTTGAGACAAATTCTCTTCATTTTCCTTCATTGGACAATGACTTGATTTCACCTTCATTCTTGAAGTATATTTTTGCTGGATATTGTTAACCCAATTCTGTTTGGTAGTTCTCTTTTAGCACTTGAAAAATGTGTTGGATACTTCTGGCCTTCATGATTCCTGATGAGAAATCTGCTGTCATTTGAATTGTTTTACCCATATAAGTTGTTTACCTCTCACTACTTCTAAGATTTTTTTGTTGTTCTTGTCTGTAGTTTTAAGAAGCTGAACTGTGATGTGTCTGGTATGGATTTCTTTGGTTTTATCCTGTTCGGGGATTACTGAATTTCTTGAAACTATAAGGTTTATTTATGTCTTTTGCCAAATTTTGGAAATATCAGCCAATAATTCTTTAAATATTTTTCAGTTTCACACCCTTTTTCCTCTTTATTGACTCTTTGGACACTATAATTTTTCCCCAAAATTGATGCTTTTCTATTCTTTTTATTTATTTATTTATTTATTTATTTACTTGAGATGGAGTCTCACTCTGTTGCCCAGGCTGGAGTGTAGTGGCACAACCTCAGCTCACTGCAATCTCCGCCTCCCAGGTTCAAATGATTCTCTTGCCTCAGCCTCCCAAGTAGCTGGGACTACAGGCATATGCCACCACTCCCGGCTAATTTTTTGTATTTTTAGTAGAGACAGGGTTTCACCATGTTAGCCAGGATGGTCTCGATCTCCTGACCTCATGATCCGCCCACCTCAGCCTCCCAAAGTGCTGGGATTACAGGCATGAGCCACCACGCCCAGCCAAAGCGATGCTTTTCTAATGTTGCCACTTTATTTCTTTTAGTTTATTTTGTTTTTAGAGATGGGGTCTCACTGTTGAACAGACTGGTCTCAAAACATCCTCCTGCCTCGGCCTCCATAACAGGTGCAATCACAGGCATGAGCTACACACTCAGTGGTTGCCATTTTAAAACCCACACACTTTTAAATGCTCTGGTCTCCTAGGAAACTTTTTTAGTATTTTTACCATTAGGGTGCACTTCTTTGGTAGATGGTTTTAGGTCAGTCTTGTGATCCTTATTTCCCTCTTCTCTCTTCTATACAGACTTTCCAGATAGCTGGCTTTTCACAAAGACTTTGTGGCTGTAGCTTGAGAAATAGCTTTGCTAGAAAGTATTATTTCTCTTTGTACTTACAGGAAATTTGAAATGTATCCTCTTTTCTGTTTTGTGATTCTGCTGAAGGAGTAATATTTGCATAGTTCATTTTTACTTTTATTTTTTGAGACTGAGTCTCTCTCTGTCACCCAAGCTGGAGTGCAGTGGCGCAATCTCAGCTCATTGCAACCTCCGCCTCCTGGGTTCAAGCGATTCTTCTGCCTCAGCCTCCCAAGTAGCTGGAACTACAGGCAGCCACCACCACACCCAGCTAATTTTTGTATTTTTAGTGGAGATGGAGTTTCACCATTTTGGCCAGGCTGGTCTCGAACTCCTGACCTCAAGTGATCCGCCCACTTTGGCCTCCCAAAGTGCTGGGATTACAGGCGTGAGCCACCATGCCTGGCCAGGTTTGCGTAGTTTACTGTTTTATATGATTCTGTGTAGTTTTTGTAGGATGTGTGGACAGAGTTAGATTTAGGAAGCTTCCATGACTTCACCTATGTGGACTTCTCCCAGTATAATTTTTTATTTTAAATTGTAGTAATTATGCTGTTAATTTTTTAAAAAATGCATGCATATGATAAAAAATAAAAAGAATAAAAAAGTTTCAAAAAATAGTAAGTACCCAAAATAGTAAAACATATGTTTGCCTCTTGCCTATCCCAAATTCCTAATCCCTTTCGCAAAAGGAAAACAATGTTAAAAATTTTGTGTATAACCTTATTACATAGATATAGGTGTGTACTTATATATATATATATTCATATACACATAGAAATGTGTGTCACAATATGGTTTTATATGCATACTACACAAATGGGAACATACACTATTCAGAACTTCAGTTTTTTTAATACGTATTATAATTAACTTTTCAAATCTGCATATATCCATTTTTTCTAATTTTTAGTGACTCTTTAGTATGATATTTTATGGAATCCTAATAAATTTATGTAAATATGTCTGATCTTATTTTTGAAGAATGCAGTTTATTTCTTGTGGGTTTTTTGTAATAAAATTTAATATGGTTGGGCTTAAAGTATTAGTTGAATGAATTCTAGTAAATTAATATAGTGGAATATTACATAGCTGTTAAAAATTATACTGAGTTATGTATTAACAGAGAAAGATTTTTGTGTTACCTTTTATAGCAGGTTACAAAAAGTATGCATGATATAATGCCATTTTTGAAAAATATATTAATGTACGCTCTCCCACTTTCACATGTATAAACATATGCAAAAATTATAAGCATCAAAATATAAATAATGGTTTATTGTATGCAATGAGTTTAGAGTTTATGGTTAATTTCATTAAGATTTGTACAATGAAATAGATTCAGGTAACAAGAAGGTAGATACTATCATAGAAAGCATCTGTAAGACTGAAAAGGCATTGGAATGCCTGCTAGAAATTAGGTAAAGTGTTGCATCCTTGAAGAGGGCATGTTTCTCAGGAGTGTGTATTTTTTAGGTCAAGACACTGAGGAAGCAGGGAGCTCTATGTCCACTCTGGAGAGGTCGCTGGCTGCACGCCGAGCCCCCCGGGCCAAGCTCATGATTCCCATGGATGCCCAGTCCAACAATCCTGGTGAGTCAATATTGGTGCCACAATGAAGAAATGAAATGCTTTCTGTATGTATCTTTTCTATAAAAAATCAAATTATCAAAAGTAATTATAATTTTCCCTGAACTTTCTGGACAAATGGAAATGAGGAATGACTAAAACCGTATCATTAATAATTTGAAGTCTAAGTCTTCATTCGTTACTGTATTTTTTTGTATACAATCAGATGGTCTGTTGGCAAACAGATGGATATATATTTAAGAAATTGTTTGTAAAATATATGAATTCACATAAAAGAGCTGATATATATTTTAATATTATTGATCTTATTCTAATAATCATCTCCATAGTTTATTTTTATTTATTTATTTATTTATTTTATTTATTTATTTATTTTATTTATTTATTTATTTTGAGACAGAATCTTGCTGTGTTGCCCAGGTTGGAGTGCAGTGGCACAATCTTGGCTCACTGCAACTTCCACCTCCCAGGTTCAAGCGATTCTCATGCCTCAGTCTTCCAAGAAGCTGGGACTACAGGCATGCACCACCATGCCCAGCTAATTTTTCTATTATTAGTAGAGACAGGGTTTTACCATGTTGGCCAGGCTGGTCTCTAGCTCCTGACCTCATGTGATCCGTCTTCTTCAGCCTCCCAAAGTGCTGGGAATATAGGCATAAGCTACTGCACCCATCCTCCATAGCTTTTTAAATAAACTTTTTAATGAGTCTAATTCTCACACTTAAATAATCTAGCTCCTTTAAAGCAGATGTTGACAGACACCCACTTACTACACACCCCTTGTTGAAGTTTTCTGTCATCCTCCCACATTCACTGAAGATATTATTATCTGAGAATCACTTCCTTTCCCATTACTTCTATGCTCAGTCTTGGTAATTACAGTATTCATGCAGATAATCCATCTGATACCCTAGATGGTTAGTTCCTCTATGTTGCCTGCAAAGATATTGATTCCTTCCCACCTCAATTCATAAATTCCATGTCACACCAAATCAAACCAGTACAAAATCTCAGTTCCTATTACCTTATTAGTTCCCTGCTCACTTTATTGCCCCCTTGCCATCAATTCTTCAATCCCACCAGGACCTCCAATCCATTAACTCTGCCATTTCTTCCCATCCCTCATCCCCTTCGTGTCCTCATTTATCTGCAAGCTTAACTTAGGTTTTATAGTCACTTATTATCTTCAGTCTCATCTCCCTTGGTCTTCCTTCCCCATCTTACTCGCCTGAAAAAAACCTGGTAAAATAAGCAGCTCCCCAATTCTTACCCCATTCCCTCATAGCTAAATGTATCTGGAGAAAAACATATAGCCTGCTTACTGAATATTTATGACCAAAAGTCCAAGGTGAGCTCTCACTATTTGGAAATGACACTGTATTTCTCTAGTGGTTCATAGTTACACTTTATAAGATGAATGTCTTATATGTATTCTTACTTTTCAGATTTCAGTATCTCCCATCTTTCCCTATTCTTAGCTAATAATCTTATATCAGGAAGAAAAGAAAAGCATTCAGAAAGTGGTATCCTTGTCCTTCCATCAAATCTAATTGATCTGTTAGTGCTGCTCTCTGAGTGTCTTGTTGAAATCCCCTCTCACCCATTTAGGGACTCTTCTGTAATTACTCCTTCCCTTTCCTGCATCATCAGTTTTTTTTCCTTATTTATCACTGCAGTAAGCATACAAATATTAATATTCTGTCATAACTCCTGTTTTATAACACTCAATGCCACTTCCCCCTCCAATTGAAACCATATTTACTGAAAAAAATTTCTAAATTATCTGCACTTTCTCCTCTATCTAAGCTTTCTTATTAGTTTTAATAAGATTTTTACAGTCACTCTCCACTGAATCCATGATTGCCAAGGTTGTCAATAATCTCCACATTGTCAAATCCAATGGTCAAGTCTCATACTCTCAGAAACAGTTGACATAGGTTCTCACTTATTTCCCTGAAACACTTTCTCTTTGGCTTGCAATGTACTAGATGCCCCTGGTTTTCTTCCTACCCTTCTGGCTGCTCCTCCTCAGTATCCTTCATTTATTTCTCTTCTTCCTCCTGATCTCTAAGAGTCAGAGAATGCCCCAGGGCTCAGTCTTCAGGTATCCTCTCTTTTCTCCCTACACCTGCTTCTTAGATAATGTCATCTAGTATCAATGGCCTTAAATAAATATTATTAAAATGCTGATGAATCCTGGAGGACATTATCCTGAGGCAGGATCTCTAGGGCAAGGGCAAAATGCCACCAGTCTTTGCTAAAACATAGCAAGAGTCTCCTTTGCTTCATTTCCCAATAATTTCCTCATCACCATCTGAGGACACCTCAGCCTGGACTTCATTGTCCATATCACTACAAGCATTTTGGTCAAAACTGTTCATCAAGTCTCTAGGCAATTCCAAACTTTCCCACATCTTCCTGTCTTCTTCTGAGCCCTCCAAATTGTTCCAGCTTCTGACCATTACCCAGTTCCAAAGTCACATCCACATTTTCAGATTATCTTTATAGCAGTGCCACACTCTTTGTGGTACCAATTTACTGTATTAGTCCGTTTTCACACTGCTATAAAGATACTACCTCAGACTGGGTAATTCAAAAAACAAAGGAGGTTTAAATGACTGACAGTTCTGCATGGCTGAGGAGGCCTCATGAAACTCAGAATCATGGCGGAAGGTGAAGGAAAAGCAAGTACCTTCTTCACAAGCCAGCAGGAAAGAGAGAGAGAGAGAAAAAACGAAGGGGGAAGAGCCCCATATAAAACCACCAGATCTCATGAGAACTCACTCACCATCACGAGGATCATGGGGGGAACTGCCCCAATGAGCCAATCACCTCCCACTTTGTCCTTCTCTTGACATGTGGGGATTACAATTCGAGATGAGATTTGGGTGGGGACACAGAGCCAAATTATATAAATCAACTTACTCTGTTCAGAAACTCTAGTTTCATGCCTCTTCATTCTGATTTCCTTATACCCTAAATTCAGTCTTTTACCAAATTATTGTTTTCAAAACATTTCCCAAATTTGACCACTCTTTTCCACCTTCACTGTTTTGCCCTTATCCAAGCTACCATCATCTCTTACAGATTACTAGACTACAGCAATAAGCTTGTAACTAGTCTCTTCTTTAGCTTTTTGAAAAACAAAAAAACTATTCGTATTTTTTGTGGGTACATAGTAGGTATATATATTTATGGGGTACATGAGATGTTTTGATACAAGCATGCAATATGTAATAATCACATCGTGGAGAATATGGTATCCATCCACGCAAGTGTTTATCCTTCTTGTTAAAAACAATCCAATTATACTCTTAGTTATTTTTAAATGTACAATTAAGTTATTATTGACTACAGTCACCCTGTTGTGCTATCAAATAGTAGGTCTTATTCATTCTATTTTTTGTACCCATTAATCTTCATTAGCCTTTGCCTTTACAGTCAATTCTCTACACAGCTGTCTCTCAATATATAAATTAGATAATGTTGTTCCTCTGTGACTTCCATCACATGTAGAAACAAAATCCACCAATTTTACTATGTTCTACAAGGTCCCATGTGATTTAGTCTCTGGGTTTATCCCTCACTTTATCTCCTATTGCTCCTTTCTGTAATTCATTACAATCATGTAACCTTCCCCTGTGTTCCTTGGATAATAGGCATATCTCAGTTCAGGGACTCTGCACTTGCTGTAGTCTTTGGAATCTCTTTTTGTAGATATTTACATGTCTTATCCCCCATTTCTTTCAGGTCTCTATTCAACTACCACCTTTATAAGCAGGTCTTCCCTGACCATTGCCTAACACAGCATCTCTGGTCACTCTCTACTTCTCTATTATGCTTCATTTTTCTTTTTTAATGCATTACACTATTCTATTTGTGGTTTTGTGTTTGTTATTTATTTGCTTCCTGTATTTTAATATAATCTTTATAGGGGCAAGGATTATGCCTATTTTGGTCATTTTGAGTCGCCAATACCCAGAACAGCACCTGGCACATGGTAGGCATGCACTCAATACCATTTAGTCAAATGAAAGAATTAATAGTTGTTTATTTTTACTTACCATATGCCACATCCTCCCTATGCTCCATTACATCTTCTCTCAATTTTACTATAATAAGTGCAAAAACTTACATAGCATTTATAATGAATGCCAGCTGTTCAAGTCATGTAGTAAGCACTATTGTTATGCGTCTCATTGTTAGGTTCTCTCATTTACTAGAGAGAGAAGAAAGGATTGGAGAGTTTAAGTAACTAGCTAGCAGTCACACAGCTAGTACGTGCTATAGCCAGAATTTGGACTCAAAAGGTCTGATTTCAGAGTTCAGTGTTCTTAATCATTATGCTCCTAGCTGTCATACCCTGTGAAGCTATTGTCCTTTATCTTTTATACCTTTCACTACTGAGAAAGATACTGTGCACTTAGTTGCCTTTTTTCCCCTCTAGTTGCACTCCTCTTGTATTAATAACTAAGTTCTATCTGTGCCAATCATTTATTGCTTTCTTCTCAAACATTATTGTACTTTAGAATCTGTGGAGCCTTCCTGTCCCATCTAATTAGAAATATCTTCCTCATCTAATAAATTCCCATATGCCATTGCTTTTTCTTTCACAGTATCTTTGAATCCCTGGCTATCCTCCCATTCTCAACTCTTTTATGTCTTCTTTGTGACTTCACATCTAAACTGCCAAGACAGCTTCCTAGCTAAGTCTTCCCGGCTCTAGCATCTTCCAGACTCTTAGGCATCCTGCTTGCCAGATTTCTTCCTAAAACAAGTTAAACATGGCATCCCACCCCATACATTTCTCCAGTGGCTCCCATTTGTCTGCCAAGAAAAACAAAACAAACCAAACAAATTTTTAAAAACGTTTTTAGCATATCATATTGGAATCTAGATTTCTGTTACTCTATCCTTATATGTACCCAGACTCATGCTAAGGTAGACTCATTGCTGATCCACAAATATGCACTGTCCTTCATTTGTTTTTTCCCTTTACATATTTCTTTCCTTTTGAAATGACTCAGTGGATAGCTCAACCTAAGAAGTTTTATGTATCCTCCAAAGACCAGAGTAGATATTGATGCTCTTACAAATGCTTTTCTGATTACTCCATCTAGAAATAATGACTCCCTTTTATATGTTTGAATAACATGTTCTTGTAGCACGATATAGCATTTATTACACACAATACTGCCTTATATGCTTAGGCTTTCAAGTACAAATCTTCCCTCCTCCAACAGCTTGTGAATTACTTCATGATAAGGATGTAATGTATCTAATTCATCTTCATATTCACACATTTTATTGTTTAATACCTAGCACAAAATTGGTGCTTGCTAAATATCTGTCGAATGAAAAAACAAATAAATGTATTATTAAAATGCCTTCCTTATGTTTGTAACACATCAATGTTTGGAGAGCTCTTTTTTTGTCAGTTATAAATAGAATGTCATCTAACAAAATTGTCTGATGTATTAAGAGCAGTTAAACTTGTTTTCATTAAACAGAAAAGGAAATAAGAGGCTTAGAAAGAGAAAGAAAATCTAACAAGTATGAAAATGTTTAATATTATTCACTTGGTAAATACCTTGCTAATTATTATTTTCATTTAATCCTCACAATATTATCATGTGGTAAGATTATCCTGATTTTACACATGGGAAACAGCGACTCAGACAGCTTAAGCAACTTCCTCTAGGCTACCTGGGCAACTTCAGAACCTCTACGGTATACTGCTTTTCCAAAGATAAATATGGCTTTTATCTCCTAAATTATTCATATCCTTTTATTTTTCAAAAAGATTTTCTGAAGGTGCTATCTCCATTGTCTAAACATGGAAGCTGAGGCTCTGAGAGTCTGAACTTGAAACCCCTGCTTGATCCATCTACTCTACTATATTGCTTCATACTGTTATCTTGAGCTCTGAGTTTTTGTAGGCCTAAAATAACAAATCTTCTCTTAGTGACTTATTCTACATGAATGGAACCCATAAAATTACCAGAAATTAATTTTTGTTATTTTTGTAATTATCAGATAACAACACATACATGGTTTTAAACCATCACATAGTTTTCCAAAATTTATAAGAATATTCTGATTCAGCAATTCCATTCCTAGATATATTCTACTCTTGGATATGTACCCAATGGAAATATATAAAATATTAGTCAACAGGTGCATATAAGAATGTGGGTTATTTGTAATATCACATCTTCATTACAATAGATGAATATAGTATATTCATATAGTGGAGTACAATGCAGCAATAAAAATAAACTAAAATTATACAAAACAATATGGATAATCTCATGGGTGTAAATTTGCAATAAAGAAACCTGATGCATCTATATAATTCAATTTATGTAAAATTAGAAAATCAGTAAAATAATCCATGGGGTTTAATATGGTTTGGCTGTGTCCCCACCCAAATCTCATCTTGAATTCCCATGTCTTGTGGGAGGGTCCCAATGGGAGGTAATTGAATCAGGGGCAGGTCTTTCCTGTGCTATTCTTGTGATAGTTAATAAGTCTCACAAGATTTGATGGTTTTAAAAATGGGAGTCTCCCTGCACAAGCTCTCTTCTCTTCTCTGCTGCCATGTGAGACGTGCCTTTCACCTTCTGCCATGATTGTAAGGTCTCCCCAGCCACATGGAACTGTAAGTCCAATAAACGTCTTTTGTAAATTGCTCAATCACAGGTATGTCTTTATCAGCAGCGTGAAAATGGACTAATATAGTAATTTGTTCTGGGAGTGGGGCATTGCTGTTAAGATACTCAAAAATGTGGAAGTGACTTTGGAGCTCAGTAAGAGGCAGAGGTTGGAATAGTTTGGTGGAGGACTCAGAAGAAAACAGGAAAATGTGGGAAAGTTTGGAACTTCCTAGAGACTTGTTGAATGGCTTTGGCCAAAATGCTGATAATGATACAGACAATGAAATACAGTCTGAGGTGGTCTCAGATGGAGATGAGGAACTTCTTGGGAACTGGAGCAAAGGTGACTTTGGTTATGTTTTAGCAAAGAGACTGGGGGCATTTTGCCCCTGCCCTAGAGATTTGTGGAACTGAACTTGAGAGAGATGATTTAGAGTATCTGACAGAAGAAATTTCTAAGCAATAAAGCATTCAAGATGTGACTTGGATGCTGTTAAAGGCATTCAGTTTTACAAGGGAAGCAGAGAATAAAAATTCAGAAAATTTGCCCCCTGACAATACAATAGAAAAGAAAATCCCATTTTCTGAGAAGAAATTGAAGCTGGCTGCAGAAATTTGCATAATCAATGAGGAGCTGACTGTTAATCCACAATATAATAGGGGAAATGTTTCCAGGGCATGTCAGAAGTCTTCACAGCAGCCCCTCACATCATGGCCCTGGAGGCCTTGGAGGAAAAAGTGGTTCCATGGACCAGGCCCAGGGTCTGTGAGCTGCGTGCAGCCTATGGACTTGGTGCCCTGTGTCCCAGCTGCTCCAGCTGTGGCTGAAAGGAGCCAAAATAGAGCTCAGGTCTTGGCTTCAGAGGGTGTAACCCTCAAGTCTTGGCAGCTTCCTTGTGGTGTTGAGCCTTCCAGTGCACAGAAGTCAAGAACTGGGGTTTGGGAACCTCTGCCTGGATTTCAGAGGATATATGGAAATGCCTGGATGTCCAGGCAGAAGTTTGCTGCAGGGGTGGGGCTCTCATGTAGAACCTCTGCTAGGGCAGTGCAGAAGGGAGATATGGGGTCAGAGCCCCCACACAGAGTCCCTACTGGGTCACCATCTAGTGGAGCTGTGAGAAGAAGGCCACCATCCTCCAGACTCTGTAATGGTAGATCCACTGACAGCTTGCACTGTGCACCTGGAAGAGCTGCAGACACTCAATGCCAGCTCATGAAAGCAGCTAGAAGGGAGGATGTACCCTGCAGAGCCACAGGGACGGAGATGCCCAAGACCATGGGAACCCACCTCTTGCATCAGTGTGACCTGAATGTGAGACATGGAATCAGAGGAGATCATTTTGGAGCTTTAAGATTTGACTGCCCTACTGAATTTCAGACTTGCATGGCGCCTGTAGCCCCTTTGTTTTGGTTAATTTATCCCATTTGGAACGGCTGTATTTACCAAATGCCTGTAACCCCATTTTATATAGGAAGTAACTAACTTGCTTTTGATTTTACAGGCTGATAGGTGGAAAGGACTTGCCTTGTCTCAGATGAGATGTCGGGCTGTGGACTTTTGAGTTAATGCTGAAATGAGTTAAGACTTTGGGGGACCATTGGAAAGGCATGATTAGTTTTTAAATGTGAGAACATTAGAATTGAGAGGGGCCAGGGGCAGAATTATATGGTTTGGCTGTGTCCCCACCCAAATCTCATCTTGAATTCCCATGTGTTGTGGCAGGGACCTGGTGAGAGGTAATTGAATTTCGGAGCCAGGTTTTTCCCATGCTGTTCTCATGATAGTGAATAAGTCTGACAAGATCTGATGATTTTAAAAATGAGAGTCTCCTTGCACAAGCCCTCTTCTCTTTTCTGCTGCCATGTGAGATGTGCCTTTTCCCTTCTGCCATGATTGTGAGGCCTTCCCAGCCATGTGGAAATGTAAGTCCAGTAAACCTCTTATTTATTTATTTTTTTTGTAAATTGTGCAGTCTTGGGTATGTCTTTATCAGGATCATGAAAACAGACTAATACAGGGTTAGAATTCAGGAGGACAATTACTTTTGATGGAAGTCGATTAGTGGACCAGAAGGTACTATAGGGCACATTCTCATAATGTGTTATTTCTTGTTCTGGATTACAGATGCCAGGCATTTCACTTTGGAAAAACATTGAGCACTGTATTTAGCATATTCTCAATTTTCCCTGTGTATATTATAATTCAATGAGAAAAAAGACAATAGAATATGTATATTTTTAAATAACTTGGTCACATCACATTCATTGTTATCTACAAGCTGTTTGTTGGTGAAACTGTATTCAACAAAAGAAAATTATTTTAACATATAAACACAGTTAATTTTAAAATATTTTTTATTTTTTGAGTCAGACTCTCACTCTGTTGCCCAGCTGCAGTGCAGTGGTATGATCCCTGTTCACTGTAACCTCCACCTCACGGGCTCAAGCAATCTTCCTGCCTCAGCCCCCTGAGTATATGGAACTACAGACATAAGCCAACATGCCCAGCTAGTTTTTGTATTTTTTGAAGAGACGAGGTTTCACCACGTTGCCCAGGCTGGTCTCAAACTCCTGGGCTCAAGTGATCCTCCTGCCTCTGCCTCCCAAAGTGTTGGGAGTACAGGTATGAGCCACTGTGCCTGGCCCAAATAAATTCTTAAACTTTTTGATAAAATAGCCCTTTGCATCTGAGATGATTGATAAGGCCATAGGTAACTATGTTTAAAAATTTTGTATCTGTATCTTGGCAGAGTTATGATTTTATTCAGGAGAGTAGATAAATTTATAATGGCCCCATTTGCAATTATTTACACTTACTGGGGTATCAAGCCTTGTATAAACTAAAGCCATAGCATTGTTCAGATTTCTAGTCACATATATAAAGATCGTTGCTATTTCATTGAGGAATCATTATTCCTATAAGATTGTTATTTTCTTTCTTCCTTGACATTTCTTATTATGTGCTATAAAATGTTAACAGATAAAACATAAGTTATCTGAAGTTGTATTTTGGCTCTTAAAACTCACAGAGAAAATGTATTTAATTTCATGGGAAGGCAGAATCTTCTTATTTGTCTAATATTATACTTTTTGGTTGAAAATATTATATGGCATATGCTACTCCTTATCCCCAAGCATTCTTCACAGTAAAATTAGCTGAGGCTCATGAAAAACATGCCAGCTGACAGCACAGGCAGGAGATGAACCCCAATCTTTTGATTCCCCAGCCTAGTTACCCTTACCATAAAATGGTGGCAAAGGTTGACTATTTGTATAATGGCCAAAAATTATTTTAAATGCTGTTTCTTACTATAATGAAATTAATTACAAAAAAGTCAGAACAGAGACTGGAAGATAGGAGATTTATTGGCTTAAGTGCTTTCTGGAATAACACCAGTGAGGGTGAAGGATACAGAATAACACCAGTGAGGGTGAAGGATACAGAATTGGGGCAAGGGTGGGATTGAACTGGTGATGCTGTTTAATGGAGACCTCAGCTGACCTGAGGCTGTCCTTTAGGGTTGTCCTAAATGAAGCAAGTGGGGCTGGCCTTCTCTATCCTGACTCAAGTAATCTTTCATGCAGGCTATTTCCAAGAAGTGGGGTGTGGCCTTGGGTGAGCGACTTAATTTGGATGAGAGCATTCCTTGAAGAAAGATTTAGATCTACATTACATTTCTAGATGGTATTGCACAATCGGATGTAACTATTTGGCCATTTTCAACCCATTTTCTTCTTTTGTAAGATGCCGAAAAGGAAGAGGGGAATAGGAACTAGGAAGGATATAGATTGAAGCAGATTAGCTGTAAGATCATTTAAAGTATGAGAGGTTTTTGGGCAGTATCTTGAATTTTATATATTTGTCACTTACCTTTCTCTGTAAATATTTGAGGGAAAAAAAGGAAATCATTCTTTAAAGGAAAAAGAAGTCTCAAAAAGGTAGCCTGAAACATCTAGCAAAAACACTGAAGCAAAGGAAGTTATACACTTTGCCATGGTAATGGCTACTGGTTTCTGGGCTTTCTAGAACATTCACTATGAGAGCCAATGCTCTCCTTCCCTTTCCCACCATCTGCATTAGTCACTTGGCTGTAGAACACAAACAGTGACTTGGAGAAGCTGTTGAGAAGTGAAATAAAGCTACATGAGAAAGGGCAGATTTTTAAAACTGGAGTTCTATTGACTCTAGGTGCTGTCCTACCAGGAGGCCTGCTTCTACACAAATGGACATTGAGAGGGACTCGTCTGTGAGACGATCATCCCTTTGACTCATGCATATAAGGTGCGAGAAACCAGCATCCTAAGATTGGTCCCAGCTCAATAGTCTTCTGAGACTGGGCATTTATTCCATCACCCTTCAGCCCTTGTGGATGCCCACAACCAACCAAGAATTCTTTCCTAGGAGTAAGGAGTGCATAGAGCCGTTCTAGTATGATAAATATCAACAGCACACCCATTTTCAACTATTCAGAACTGTAGGAACGGTGGTGAGAAAAAAGTTCAAAGCACACTTAAATTTGCATTAGAAATGATCTCATTACCTAATACATGATTTTAAATACTAATCTGATCAATTCATTATCAATATCAGTTTTTATTCTTTGAGTCTTCGATGACATACTTCATTCCACCTCTTACTCTGAATTACTGAAAGGAACAGTATTTTTTATTCAAACTCTATAGGCACACAATTCATTATGCATTATGCAATGTTTTGTGCGATGCCATGGCTCTGTATAAAAATGGAATTAAAAAGTTGTTAATGAATGGGAACTGGAGACCTAGATGTCGTTTCTTGGTAGCTCTATAAGCAAATAAATTTTCAAACAAAATTAATCTATTGTTAATTCTATTGGACTAAGAAAATCAGCAAGTCAGTAGAGTTATGCAGACACAGTCAGAGCTTAAAAAGGTTCCTGTAGAGAGTACAGAATTGTATCTTTTGGGAGGATTTTACAAGATAAGAAGTAGTTTGTTTTTCAAAGATATAGAAGTAATGAAGAAGGGATCTGACAAAGGGTTGGTGAAAGTAAATATTTTAGATGATGGAGTATAAAAAGTATACCAACTTAGCTTCTAGAAAGAGTTTCTATTGCAATGTAAAAATACAGATATCCTTCAAGACTTAGATTACCTAATTATTTCTTAATTCCTAATATCTTAGAGATTTCTTCAACAAAATGGACCATTTCTTAAACCTCACAACATTTCCTATCTCACACAAGGTTTTGGAGATCTGGGGGTAACTTATGAATGACTAAGGCAAATGGATTCACAATTTGTTGTGGAAATCTTTCTGGTCTGCTTAGAAAAGAATACTGTGATACCTTAAGCTCATTTCAAAGGAATTCCATGGAACCAGATCAGAGTCTATATCTTTCCTATGGCCTCATCTTCTGTCTAATATCATGGAGCCAAAATGTACACCTGGATGTTCACAACTATTTCATATATCTGGGCTTCATAGACACATCTCATTTGAGAAGATCTCAGCTGAAAAGGTCCAGATAGAGGAGTAAAGGTCCAGATAGAAGGAGTATAGTAGGAGATTGCAGGGGTCTTAAAGTTTCCTTCTCACAGTTCACCCTATTTGATCTTAACACATAGCTCCTGCTGTGGCAAGCACTAAGCCAGCCAGTCCACATTCTGTCTCATCTTGGAAAGCGTGTATAAACCACATTAAAATTGGGCCAGATAGACTTCAATAAATGCCTTCCTTCAGCTTATAAATGACAAAACAAGAACTTGAACTAGAAATTATCTTTCTCATGTCAAAAATCTTTCAGGGTCATACTTCCCTCAGGTTCAAATTTGAATTTAAAAACTATTATTTATTTTCCTCTATCTTAATGCATAGCACTCTTTTTTTCAAATGTAAGACAGGATGTTTTAAACAATATTTTCAATTAAAAAAGATATTCAATGCAGTTTTGGATGGATCTGTTGCAGCCTTGCAAATTAATTACAATGCCCAACATTTATGGGGTGCTGACTTCTGACCCTGTACTCTGTTGCACTTCTCTGTGGATGATCTCTTAAATCCTCACAACCACATCATAAAATCGGTACTCCATTGTGCAGATGAGGAAACTGAAAAACAGAGCGTGAATAATTTGCTCTTCAACGTGTAGCTATTATCATGTAACAAATTACTCCCAAAATGTAGCAACATAAAATAATTATTGTTTATTTTCTCAATAGTATCTGAGAATCAGGTATCTAAGAGCAGTTTAGCTAGGTGGTTCAGGGTCAGAGCTTCAAGTTGTTTCATGAGGTTTCTTTCAGTGTCTTGAGCTGAGGGTCTAGTTTCTCGCTACATGGGCGTATGCACAGGTCTGCCAGCCTGTCCTTAAGACATAACACCTGGATTCCCCAAGACATGACACCTGGCTTTCCCCAGCATGAGTGATCTAAAATAGAGAAGAGAGGAGAGAGAGAGAAAAACAGAGTGAGCATGTACAATCTTTTTAAACCTTATCTTAGAAGAGACATACCATCATTTCTGCCACATTCTACTGCTCACCAGACCAATCCTGGTAAAATGTGCAAGGGAACCCAACAGGCATGTGAACTCCATGAAGTGGGATCAGTGGGAGGCATCTTTGACGCTGGCTATGATGCTTATTCACTAGCAAGGAGTAGAACTAGGTAACGAATCCAGGCAGTTTTACTTCAGCACTTAGGACTCTTTACCATTATATTAAGAATAACTGCAAAGCACATATTTATGAATCTTAGGGCTTTTCCAAAAGCGACCCTCTATGGAGTTTGTGGATACTTGTGAATGTCATTCTGTGGCACTTGCTTATCAAAGAACACCTGAAAATGTGAAGGAGATATGAATATCAAGGACAATAGAGGCTAAATTTCCAAATGTCCCAGATAATATACAGGTCATTGTGGAAAAGAGAAGATAAAAAGAGGCAGAATGAAAAATCATTTCAGTTAAGCTCTTTCATTTCGACATACCATTATCTTTGTCTCCTTCGTCTCCTCAACAAATCTCTCAATTCTGTCAAGTACCATGTTGAGAAATATCTAGGGAGGGTTTTATTATTTCTTAAACATTGTAGCTTAAAAAAATCTTTACTTTTGATTTCCTATAGGTAGTATTTAGTGCTAACATTTTAGAATATTATGGAAGTTTTCAAATACCAATGTGCCTTGTTCAGGGAGCTAAGTAATTTGGTGAGGGAATTTCTACTTGAAAAATTTTGTGCATCAATGTCAGAGATAAATTCAATTGTCAGAAAGCTGTGTCAGAACAGATTTCTTGTCATATTTTGCCGCAGAGCAGAGATTTATTGAAAATGCTTGATGATATCGCTCTCTGAGCTGTTTTACATAAACATAGCAGTGGAGTGAATGCTTTGAGTTGAAGCATTTGTGTGTTTGTGTGTATGTGTGTGTTTGTGTGTGTGTGTATTTCCGACTTTCAAAACTGACGTCAAGGGGAAAAATACCAAAAGATATCCTAATACCTAATGTTTTATCCAACTTACTTTAAGAATGATTATTTTTTGTTATAAGTAAATGTAGACTTCTGTGCCTTTTCAGAAATGAATCATAGAATAAAATACTTCAAGATCGAAGCTTTGGGATACTGGCTATTCTATCTGATGTCACAAAATAATGAACACTTTTGAGATGCAGAAACATACAACAGATTTATTATTTTTGAAAGAAGGTTTATTATTTGTAAACCCTTTGTAATCAGGTCAGCAGCAAAAATACAAAACTATTAGAAAGTAAAATTTCTTTCTTCAGTAATGAAAGACTTGGAACTGCAGTGTAAGTTCAGTCTCTAGAGTGCTCTCAGCACTCTAACTAAAAGATTATATGGCTTGCAAAATTGTTTTATGTTTCTCTCTCCAAATTTGTTTGGCTCCAAATCAGAAGATACGTATGAAACTCTTTTTCTAAACGTACTGTGAAACATTTGTTAATAATATTATTGCTTGTATTATAATATACTCATTTTGATAATAAAATATAGTATGCACAGTTTGTGGAATGAGTATTTTCTATATTTAAAGGAGACTAACATTGTCACATTTATGAGTAAAAAGTATCAATACTGGGAATGTTTTGCAATCTAGCAATCCACTTTAATGACTGCAGTGATCCATTTGATCAGTAAGACAGGTGAAATAATTCAGTTGACTGCCTCAGAGTCTGGGAATTTGAGTTGTTTAAAAATAGACTTTATGCTCTGGTATGGCTTATATTTACAAATGTGTTCAACTACATTATTATTATCATTATTATTATATTAACTATATACCCCAGGAGAGTAAATCATATATCAAGTCACTCTAAAAGTCTCCAGTGTGTTAAAATGACAGATTTCTAAATAATACTCCTAGAAAATCCTTCATATTAAACTCACTTGAAAAATATGAAGTATCTCTAGCACTGTCCTAGAAAAGACACAAAGACAACAAAATTATAACTTATTTCTTTAAGGAATTTATAACATTTTGGCTGGTATCTGGTTTGAATCTCTGATTCTTTTTAAAAGTTTCCTTGTCATTTTTTAAATTTCCCTTTTTCTGGAGTCTGTTTACGTGTTTATATATCCATAATGTGCTTTTCATAAAATATCTTTATTGAGGCATTGTGCTTTGTACTAATTACTCTCAAATGTTCATTCATGTCTTCTCTAAAATAATTTAGAAAAACTATGTATCCCCTCATATATTTAAAATTTGACACTTAAAATATTTTGTTACACATTAAATACCTGTGAAAGATGGAATTTTTCTGATGTAACATGCTTTTAAACCAATCTAAAAGCACAAAAATACCATAGTAGTTTGATATCAACATCATCCCCTTAAAAAATATGTGAGGAAGTGCCTTGTTAACAGATAGAAGTTAACACCACTCATTTTTCTCCTTGAACTGGAATCTACAATTTATTTTCCCCACAGATTAACATACAAACATGATCTATTTTTATGTTTGTGGGTCTTTTTTTGATTATATATCTATCTTATTTTTTTGCAGCATAAAATTTATATAAACCAAAATTTTATTTTATGTTTGTATTTCCAGTGACTATGAGTCTTTGTTAATTTTCTTTCCTATGGATCTTGTTAACATTACAATTAGTGTTTCTCCACAATGGCATATAGCGTAAAATTTTATTGGAGTGTTATCACTTAATGACATGAATGGGGCTTTTTGTACATTAATTGCATACATCCATGTATGAATGTTGCTTATTGCATTAATTCTATTCCAGTGTGCTTGTTGTTGATCTAAACACTGTGAAACCTTTGCCTATGTTTGCATAGATAGATAGATAGATAGATAGATAGATAGATAGATAGATAGATAGATAGATATAGTGTGTGTGTATATATATATGAATGAGTACTATAACAATGAGATCTTTATAGCAATCACTGAACAATTTGAACTTCTCCCAAATTACATGCCAAAATCACATTGTGACTTCTTATTCTGTTATTTTTGATAATTTTTCAACTAACAACTACCTGAGATTTTCCTTCAATTATGCTCTAAATGAAAATGTTAGAAACCACCTGACTTGCAGAAGTATTTGTTACTCATTCAAGTTATTTACTTTCTTGTTTTCTAGGAGGTTCACAATAAAAAGCTGTACCAAAATTTATCAGCAATTTTAAAATAAACTTGAAAATTGCTTTCACCGAGAGGCACTTTTTGTAACAATATATAAAGACAAGATTAGGTTGCCTTTTCTTTTGGTGATTATTTCCTTTGCTGTGCAGAAGCTTTTTAGTCTGGTGCAGTTTCATTTATTTATTTTTGATTTTGAAGCCAAGCTTTTGGTGTGAAACCTAAAAAGATCATAAACAAGACCAAAATCAAGGAGCTTTTCACCTATGCTCTCTCCTAGGAATTAACTTCTGGGTCTTACATGTAGGTATTTTATCCATTTTGTGTTAATTTTTCTGTATGGTGTGAGATAAGGGTCCAATTTCATTATTTTCAATGTGAAAATCATTCCCCCAGCACCATTTATGGAAGAGACTATACCTTTTTAACATAATTTCTAATCAGGAAGTGCAGTGCCTCCAACTTTGTTTTTCTTTCTCAGTATTGCTTTGGTTATTCAATATTTGTTATGGTTTCATAGAAATTTTAAGATTTTTTTCTATCTCTGTGAAGAATGCCATTAGAATTTTGATGGGGATTGTGTTAAATCTGCATATTGCTTTGGGTAGTATGAACCTTTCAACAATCCCATTTATATGTGAAATATATGTGTGAAATAATACATATATAAGCTCAAATACACAGAGATAGAGAATGAAACAGTGGTTCCCACAGGTGGGAGGGGGAGAGGAAATGGGGAGATGTAGGCCAAAGAATGCAAAATAGCAGACATGTGAGATGAACAAGTCTAGAGACCTAACCTACAGCATGAGAACTAAAGTTAATACAATTGTATTGTATTAGGGATTTTTGTTAAATAAGTACATTTTAGCTACTATGTTACTTTGTCACAAAAAGTAACTGTGAGCCGATAGATATGTTAATCTACTTCACTATGGTAACCAACCTACTATCTACATGTATCTATATGTGTCTCAAAATATGTCATAAACCTCTAATATACACAATAACATGTATTTTTAAAAAAATTCTATTAATGTCATCACTCCTCTACACTCCAAAGCAAGAATTTGTGATAGAACAAAAACCCAATAAAACCCAACAATTTTTTACTGAAAAATAAAGACAAGATTAGGAAAATTGAAATATCACTTAGATCTTCACTAAAGCAATTTTTGTTGAAATGATTTATCTTTAAATGATTTATATTTTTATTCAATTTATAGGAAATACTAATCATTTAATCTGATTAGCAGAGTCACTCTTCATTTTCAAACCAGTCCATCAAAATGCTTTATCTGAAACAGTCTGACTTCATTTTTCAGTTTAAGTAAACATGTTCAAATGCATTTTAAGAAACGTTATAAATATACTGAAAAATAAATTCTGGTATATAATTTCAATAGCTAGTTTACTAGAAGCAGCCCTTTTAAAATCTTTTATCTTTTATATATTTAATCTGAATTTTCAGTTAGAATTTAAAAGAAATCTATATGTTGCTTCTCATTGAGTTACAATATGCAGTGTAATTTGTATCTACAATTATAATGTTATAAAATGAGGAATATGACAAAAGAAAAGATTTTCATTTGGTAAATGTGCATGCATGTATGTGTATGTTGAACTCCAGTTATTGGCATTACCATCTAAATAAATAAAAATAAATTATTAATTTCATAGACAGGAATATACTGCTAAAACTGATCATTCAGGTAGCTGACTTAAATTTTGCTTTGGCATAATAAAAGATAGGGAATGCTAAACATTTTATAAGAAAATATAAGATAAAGATTGACTACAATTGGAATATTTAATATATATTATAATTGAATAGCTATTGAATAATGAAATTGAACAATACTATCTAAACCTAGAAGATATTTTGTATGTTTTTTATCTGTGGGTTTCAGCCACTGTAACTAAAAAAAGTTGATATTCCTGAAAAACATTCAGTTACACTTAATATGTCACTCACCTGCACTGATTTGGGTATTTGAAGATATTTTCTATTTAAAGATAAATCCTAAGTATGACTATTGAGAAAACACTTTGCTTCTCTCTCTCTCGACTGTCCCTCAAGAGCAATACATTCTTTTACAGAATTAATGGAAAATTCCCAACATTTTTTCAACCCACTCTACACAATATATTTGATTTGTGAACAACCTAACCTTTCTAATGCCATAGTTCATCCTTAAAAGAAAGACTAAGACCAAGACAAACAAACAACATGACCGACATAAAATGTTAAGGTGGATTTATGGTAACTTGATTAACTGTTTCTTTGTTTGGAGCCCTGGAATGTTTTAAACTGCAGGGTAATATTTCGTAGTATGATGCTTGAGGGATGAGCTGTCTTTTCTAAAGTAAAAAGTGGGATTGGTGGAGAGAGGTAAGTAAGGGAACCTAGTTGATACTATGAAGAGTGTGTATAGATTTGAGGATCTGAAAATTCCACCGTTTTCTTTTTTGCTTGTTGAGTGAATACATAAGGTTCAAAAAACCCATTAACCTTTTTCTTTTGCAGCTGTCGTGAGCGCCATCCCGGTGCCAACGCTAGAAAGTGCCCAGTACCCAGGAATCCTCCCGTCTCCCACCTGTGGATATCCCCACCCGCAGTTCACTCTCCGGCCTGTGCCATTCCCAACACTCTCAGTGGACCGAGGTTTCGGAGCAGGAAGAAGTCAGTGTAATGCATTTTCCTCTCTTTTTAATAAGCACAAATGAATAATAGCAAAGGTGTCTTGTAAAATATGTTGCATTCTGACCTTATCCCTTAGAAAAGTTGATTTCCCTATGACTGTGGTACTAGAATGTTCCTTTCCAACACAGTGCTTTGGATCCTAGCTCATGTGCATTTGTACTGATTCCCTAGGCACCTTTCCACAGCACACTCCACTGACAATACAAGGGGAAGTGGTGGGGAAACAAATGTCAAGTGGTTCCATCAAACAATGATGTGATGGGTACTTGAAATTAATATGTCCTATTAAATAGGAAATTAATAATCAAGTGATATCTTCCAACATATTTGGTATCTGTTGGTTATGTCTCACTGATTGCTGATGAACCAATAACTTGGGTGAATGCTTTAGATTTCTTTAATCAGGTAAGTGATACTTTTTCAGCTTTAAAAATTAATTATCAGAAAAAAAGGATTTCCAGGGTATTATTTCATTTCTTTGAAGGAAGGTAGGAATGAAAAGAGACTCTCAAGCTATTATATACACCCTGGTGATTTCTGCTGTGCCATTTGACTCTTTTTTTTTTTTTTTTTTTGAGCACAGTGTTTTAAAATCTATTTTATGGTTTTCATCTCTTAGAACAGGTGACTCAGCAGCTCATGTGAGATAGGATGTTTTGTAATAGATATGATAGTAACAACAATAAAATATATTTTTGAGGTAAGGTATATTTTTCTAACCAAACAGGGACAGCTCTAAGAAATCATAAATCGTCTAGATACAGCAAGGTTAGAATTAAAAGGCATCAAAGATCTGCCAAGGGAGAATTAGATTTATTTTCTCTTTTCTCACTGCACATAATATCTACAGAATAGAGTTGTGTGCAAAAACTCGAGGAAAAATAGTTGCCCAAACTGCATTGAAGGGAATTAAATAGGAAAGATGTAGAAAGTCTAATAACCAAAATTTTCAAATCCCAAGACAACTGGAAATGGAATTCCAATCAAAGAATTGAGAGCCCACAAGTGCCTTCTTCACTTCTAAAATGAAGCTCTCTGCAACAAAAAAAAAGACAAGTTTTAATGTTAGTTTAGTATTCGGTCTATTGGTTTGTTGTCTCCTACACTCTTTTGATTTCTTGTATATTCTCTGACTTTAAAGGGAAACATGAAAAGAATGTGTAGACTTTCAGAGGCTGAGGTGGGCAGATCACTTGAGGTCAGGATTTGGAGACAAGCCTGGCCAATATGGTGAAACCCTGTCTCTTCTAAATTAGTTGGGTGTGGTGGCGCATGCCTATAGTCCCAGCTATTTGGGAGGCTGAGGCATGAGAATCTTTTAAGCCTGAGAGGTGGAGATTGCATTGAGCTGAGAGTGTGACACTGCAATCCAGCCTGGGTGATGGAGCTAGACTCTATTTATTTCAAATTAAAAAAAAAGAATGTGTAGAATGACCTTTATCGGGTTTCTCCATCATGACTGGTACAAGCCAAAATTCAGGACTTTTAAAATTAGTAATTCACTATTTTTATTCGTGTTGTGTTACTCATTTCTTGTCCCTTTTTTTAAAGGCATAGTTTTCTTTTGAAAATTTATTCATTGAGATCCAACATCAATTTACTCTTTCCGTTTTCCTCTTTCCTCTTAAATTGGTGCAGCATGTGAAACTCTCTCTTATTGAATCATGGGGAAAATGATTCCAAAAGTTAAAGCTCAACGAAAATGAATAAAGGGAATTGACTAGTATAAAATTTGTTTTTATCTGTGGTTAAAAGTCTCATGTGTGACTTGTGATTTTGAGAGTGAGTAGGTTGTGTGTATGTGGGATAGGAGGCTTGTGAGAAATCTCTGTACCTTCTGCTCAATTTTCTTGTGAACCTCAAATGCCTCTAAAAATAAAATCTATTAGAAATTAATTGATTGGGCCAGGCGAGGTGGCTCATGCCTGTATTCCCAGCATTTTGGGAGGCTGAGGCAGGCAGATCACGAGGTCAAGACATCGAGACCATCCTGGCCAACATGGTGAAACCGCATCTCTACTAAAAATACAAAAAAAATTGCTGGGCATGGTGGCATGCGCCTATAGTCCCAGCTACTCAGGAGGCTGAGGCAGAAAAAAAAAAAAGAAATTAATTGATTAAAATATTTATTCTCTAGAAGATGTTTTTATTTTTTAAAGTAAGGATTATTAAATAAAAGTAGTTATACGACAAAATGCTTAGTGATTTTTTAACTTTATCTAAAATGAAAAGGCATTGGATGTTCTACTCCTGCCCAAGATTTTACAGATTTTTAAAATAAATACATCTTCAGTCATTCATCAAGAACTTTTTGAGCAAAGCTATGCACAATGCAAAGCAACTAAGATCTAATATGTGTTCCAAGTGACTGTTTAAAATAAATAACACTCACCCTCCTTTCTAGGAAACTAAATATTCTCTAAATCACTGTCAGAAACAATTAACTAACTTCCCATTTCCCGTCATTCCCTATTGGTTTCTAAATGCCTTAGAGAACACTAAACAAACATTCCTGTTCTCTCTCAAGCAGAAAACATTTCATGAATCTGGGTGGATATATCTTATTAGTCGCCTTGGGAAACAGAGAAAGGCACACGTATTAAAAGAAAAAGTTGACTTTGCCAAGGTGGAAACTCTTTTTCCTCCAAAGTTATCTGAAAGACCTTTGAGTTTTATAAGAAATGAAATGAATCACTAAAGTCCTATTCCAAAGGTCTGCTGCCTTCTGAAGGCACAAATAAAGCTGAATTTCTCTCCAACCATAAGGAAAGAAAAGATATGGTACATACATTTGCATTACATGTATTCGCTGACCTATCAGTAAATAATATTTATATTTATATAGTTGTGATGGACAAATATTTCTTCTTCTTAATAAGTAACTGCAGTACTGCTCTTAGCCTCAATAAGCAAATGAGTTATCCCTAGGGAACAGTTTAGCTGCATTGTATTTGAAAACTTCAACCAATAGATAGTCTTGGGGCCTCATTTCTACAAATCAGTACAAAATTGGTGCCCCCACTTTCTTGTCTTTGAAACAAGTAGGTGGTAGAGGAGCAGTTTAAGTGATTTCCACTCTTCCTTTTAGTTCTGACATTGTCTTAACTAGTGGGAAGGCTGGTCAGCTTTATTCATGCTATTTTTCTGCCTCTGTTCTCCCTCAAATGGGAAATCAACTAATAAATGAAACTTGACCTAGATAAAATGAGGAGTGCAATGGAGTTCATAGAGTAATCTCTAGGGTATTTTAAAAAAATACAGGCTGTAAGAAACTGGGGTTATGTAAAAATATTGTGTTACGTCGTTCTTCTGAGGTTAATGAGTGAATTGGGTTTCTAGAAGTGTTCATGACTCAGTCTTTGCTTAGAGTTATTGGCTTGCTATATTTCTATCAATCACATATTGTAGTTTTTATATAGAAGAAAATTCCTCATTTCCATTTTTATAATATTTTCCCAGTTATTCTGTAGCAATTATTTATATGTATTGACATTAATTATTATAAAGTACCTTGAGATTTGACTCTGCTGTGTAATGGTATGCTATTTGTATAATGAATTCTGACTATTTCATCATGTAACAACAAGTGCCTTGCTAGCATGTATTTGATTCTCACTCGATACTCTGAATTGCAGAGCAGGGGCACGTCATGGACAAAAGCAGGTTTCTTTGCTTTCAGAGATCTTGGCAGAGCTAAATGTCATGCCACTAAGCCAATTTGTTTTGTTTCACATAGGTGTCCTAAAGCCAGTGCCTGAACTGGACAAAAGTGCTCATCTGAAATGAGAGTATTTCACTGGCGGACCAGTTGCTATTGTATTTGTTAAAGGGTTTTTGCTGCCTTAAGTGTCAGGCAGTTCCAAAAAGCATTTATTTTGCTCCACTTAAAATATAAGAATTATGAATTATAGATGGAAATCCTATACCTGTTCATTGTATTCATTTTGAACACAACAGAAATTGTCCCTTAGGGATTGGTGATATATTCCGTCTTGAGGAAGGGCCCTCTCACTCCTGTCTAGTACATTAGGCACTTTCCTATTCTCCCTATGTGGTACTAAGGATGGATTTTGCTAAAGAGGGGACCTACCTATGTAAAGCCATTTTTACTTCTGTCAAAGTCAAGAGCCATATCATGATGTTTGTTTGCAGCCAGGATCACAGGAGCCAGCTGAAAACTTGGGGATAGAAGACTGGGCATGCAGACAATTTTTGTTTTTGGAGATGCTGATGAGGAGCAATGGCGTTAAAGAGTAGGATTAGGAAAAAAGAAAATTCAGTGGCGTAATCAGAATTCATGTGAAATATGAAAGTTTTCAAAATAAGAGACCAAATTTCAAAAGACTAACAAATGCATGTACATTCTATTAAACTTACAATCACAATAATGTAGATTTCTTTATTATACTTTAATTTCTGGGGTACATGTGCAGAATGTACAGGTTTGTTACATAGATATACACGTGCCATGGTGGTTTGCTGCACCCACCAACCCATCATCTACATTAGGTATTTTTCCTAATGCTATCCCTCCCCTACCCTCCAATCCCCGAGAGGCCTTGGTGTACATGTGTCCTCATTGTTCATCTCCCACTTATGAGTGAGAACATGTGGTGTTTGGTTTTCTGTTCTTGTGTTAGTTTGCTGAGAATGATGGTTTCCTCCCTACAAAGGATATAAACTCATCCTTTTTTATGGCTGCATTGTATTCCATGGTGTATATGTGCCACATTTTCTTTATCCAGTCCATCGTTGATGGGCATTTGGATTGCTTCCAAGTCTTTGCTATTGTGAAGAGTGCCACAATAAATATACACATGCATGTTTCTTTATAGTAGAATGATTTATAATCCTTTGGGCATGATTCTGGGCCAAATGGTATTTCTAGTTCTAGATTCTTGAGGAATTGCCACACTGTCTTCCACAATGGTTGAGCTAATTTACACTCCAACCAACAGTGTAAAAGCCTTCCTATGTCTCCACATCCTCTCCAGCATCTGTTGTTTCCTGACTTTTTAATGATAGCTATTCTAACTGGCCTGAGATGGTATCTCATTGCGGTTTTGATTTGCATTTCTCTAATGACCAGTGATGATGAGCATTTTTTCATATGTTTGTTGGCTGCATAAATGTCTTCTTTTGAGAAGTGTCTGTTCATATCCTTTGCCCACTTTTTGATGGGATTTTTTTTTATTGTAAATTTGTTTAAGTGCTTTGTAGCTTCTAAATAAATATTAGTCTTTTGTCAGATGGATAGATTGCAAAAATTTTCTCCCATTCTGTAGGTTGCCTGTTCACTCTGATGATAGCTTTTTTGTTGTGCAGAAGATCTTTAATTAGATCCCTTTTGTCAGTTTTGGCTTTTGTTGTCATTGCTTTTGGTGTTTTAGTCATGAAGTCTTTTCCCGTGCTTATGTCCTGAATGGTATTGCCTAGGTTTTCTTCTAGGGTTTTTATGGTTTTAGGTCTTATGTTTAAGTCTTTAATCCATCTTGAGTTAATTTTTGTATAAGGTGTAAAGAAGGGATCCAGTTTCAGCCTTCTGCATATGGCTAGCCAGTTTTCCCAACACCATTTATTAAATAGGGAATCCTTTCCCCATTGCCTGTTTTTGTCAGGTTTGTCAAAGATCAGATGGTTGTAGATGTGTGGTATTATTTCTGAGGCATCCGTTCTGTTCTGTTGGTCTGTATATCTGTTTTGGTACCAGTACCATGCTGTTTTGGTTACTGTAGCCTTGTAGAATATTTTGAAGTCAGGTAGCATGATGCCTCCAGCTTTGTTCTTTTTTGCTTAGGATTCTCTTGGCTATGATTCTCTTGGCTATATGAGCTCTTTTCTCGTTCCATATGAAATTTAAAGTAGTTTTTTCCAATTCTGTGAAGAAAGTCAATGGTAGCCTGATGGGGTAGCGTTGAATCTATAAATTATTTTGGGCAATGTGGTCATTTTCATGGTATTGATTCTTCCTATCTATGAGCATGGAATATTTTTCCATTTGTTTGTGTCCTCTCTTATTTCCTTGAGCAGTGGTTTGTAGTTCTCTTTGAAGATGTCCTTCACATTCCTTGTAAGTTGTATTCCTAGGTATTATTTTGTTCTCTTTGTAGCAATTGTGAATGGGAGTTCACTCATGATTTGGCTCTCTGTTTGTCTGTTATTGATGTATAGGAATGCTTGTGATTTTTGCACACTGATTTTGTATCCTGAGCCTTTGCTGAAGTTGCTTATCAGCTTAAGGAGATTTAGGGCTGAGATGATGGGGTTTTCTAAATATACAATCATGTCTTCTGCAAACAGAGACAATTTGACTTCCTCTCTTCCTAATTGAATACTCTTTATTTCTTCCTCCTGCCTGATTGCCCTGGCCAGAACTTCCAACACTATGTTGAATAGGAGTAGTGAGAGAGAGGGCATCCTTGTCTTGTGCCAGTTTTCAAAGGGAATGCTTCCAGTTTTTGCCCATTCAGTATGATATTGGCTGTGGGTTTGTTGTAAATAGCTCTTATTATTTTGAGATACGTTCCATGTATGTGTCCAGGAATTTATCCATTTCTCTAGACTTTCTAGTTTATTTGCACAGAGGTGTTTATAGTATTCTCTGATGGTAGTTTGATTTTTGTGGGATCAGTGGTGATATCCCCTTTATCATTGTTGATTGTGCCTATTTGATTCTTCTCTCTTTTCTTCTTTAGTAGTCTGGCTAGCAGTCTATTTTGTTGATCTTTTCAAAAAACCAGCTCCTTGATTCATTGATTTTTTGAAGGGTTTTTCCTGTCTCTATCTCCTTCAGTTCTGCTCTGATCTTAGTTATTTCTTGTCTTCTGCTAGCTTTTTCCTGTCTCTATCTCCTTCAGTTCTGCTCTGATCTTAGTTATTTCTTGTCTTCTGCTAGCTTTTGAATTTGTTTGCTCTTGCTTCTCTAGTTCTTTTAATTGTGATGTTATGGTGTTGATTTCAGATCTTTTCTGCTTTCTGTTGTGTGCATTTAGTACTATAACTTTCCCTGTACACACTGCTTTAAATGTGTCCCAGAGATTCTGGTATGTTGTGTCTTTGTTCTCATTGGTTTCAAAGAACATCTTTATTTCTGCCTTAATTTTGTTATTTACCCAGTAGTCATTCAGGAGCAGGTTGTTCAGTTTCCATGTAGTTGTGTGGTTTTGAGTGAGTTTCATAATCTTGAGTTCTAATTTGATTGCACTGTGGTCTGAGAGACTGTTTATTATTTCCGTTCCTTTCCATTTGCTGAAGAGTGTTTTACCTCCAATTATATGGTCAATTTTAGAATAACTGTGATGTAGTGCTACAAAGAATGTATATTCTGTTGATGTGGGCTGGAGGGTTGTGTGGGTGTCTGTTTGGTCCAGAGCTGAGTTCAAGTAATGGATATCCTTGTTAATTTTCTATCTCATTGATCTAATGTTGACAGTGGGCTGTTAAAGTCACCCACTATTATTGTGTGGGAGTCTAAATCTCTTTGTAGGTCTATAAGAACTTGCTTTATGAATCTGGGTGCTCCTGCATTGGGTGCATATACATTTAGGATACTTAGCTCTTCTTGTTGCATTGATCCCTTTAACCATTATGTAATGGCCTTCTTTGTCTCTTTTGATCTTTGTTGGCTTAAAGTCTGTTTTATCAGAGACTAGGATTGCAACCTCTGCTTTTTCTTGCTTTCCATTTGCTTGGTAAATCTTCCTCTATCCCTTCATTTTGAGCCTATGTGTGCCTGCACGTGAGATGGGTCTCCTGAATACAGCACACTGATGGGTCTTGATTCTTTATCCAATTTGCCACTCTAATTGGAGAATTTAGCCTGTTTGCACTTAAGGTTAATATTGTTATGTGTGTATTTAATCCTGTCATTATGATGCTAGCTGGTTATTTTGCCTGTTAATTAATGCAGTTTCTTCATCATGTCAATGGTCTTTACAATTTGGTATGTTTTTGCAGTGGCTAGTACCGGTTGTTCCTTTCCATGTTTAGTGCCTCCTTCAGGAGCTCTTGTAAGGCAGGCCTGGTGGTGACAAAAATCTCTCAGCATTTGTTTGTCTGTAAAGGATTTTATTTCTCTTTCACTTACAAAGCTTAGTTTGGCTGGATATGAAATTCTGGGTTGAAAATTCTTTAAGAGGCCAGGCGTGGTGACTCATGCCTGTAATCCCAGCACTTTGGGAGGCCAAGGCTGGTGGAGCACCTGAGGTCAGGAGTTCAAGACCAGCCTGACCAAGATGGTGAAACCCCATTTCTACTAAAAATACAAAAACTAGCTGAGCATGGTGGTGGGCACCTGTAATCCCAGCTACTCAGGAGGCTGAGGCAGAGAATTGCTTGAACCTGGGAGGCAGAGGTTGCAGTGAGCCAAGATCGCACACTGCATTCCAGCCTGGGTAACAGAGCAAGACTCCATCTCAAAAAAAAAAAAAAAAAGAAAGAAAGAAAATTCTTTAAGAATGTTGAATATTGGCCCCCACTCTTTCTGGCTTATAGAGTTTCTGCCGAGAGATCCGCTGATAGTCTGATGGGCTTCCCTTTGTGGGTAACCCGACCTTTCTCTCTGGCTGCCCTTAACATTTTTTCCTTCATTTCAACCTTGGTGAATCTGACAATTTGACGATTATGTGCCTTGGGGTAGCTGTTCTCGAGGAGTATCTTTATGGTGTTCTCTGTATTTCCTGAATTTGAATGTTGGCCTGTCTTGAGAAGTTCTCCTGGATAATATCCTGAAGAGTGTCTTCCAACTTGGTTCCATTCTCCCCGTCACTTTCAGGTACACCAATCAGACGTAGATTTGGTCTTTTCATATAGTCCCATATGTTTTGGAGGCTTTGTTCATTTCTTTTCACTCTTTTTGCTCTAATCCTCTCACTTTATTTCATTAAGTTGATTTCAATCTCTGATATCCTTTCTTCCCAAGCTGGCTCTCTAGATTCCTCGTCTCTGGGCAGGGCATCTCTGAAAAAAAAGCAGCAGCCCCAGTCAGGGACTTATAGGTAAAAACCCCATCTCCCTGGGACAGAGCACCTGGGGGAAGGGGCAGCTATGGGCACAGCTTCAGCAGACCTAAACGTCCCTGCCTGACAGTTCTGAAGAGAGAAGTGGATTTCTCAGCACAGTGTTTGAGCTCTGATAAGGGACATACTGCCTCCTCAAGTGGGTCTCCATCCAGCCCATGTATCCTGACTGGGAGACACCTCCCAGTTGGAGCTGACAGACACCTCATATAGGCAAGCTCTGGCTGGCGGGTGCCTCTCTGGGACGAAGCTTCCAGAGGAAGGTACAGGCAGCAAACTTTGCTGTCCTGCAGCCTCCACTGGTGATACCCAGGCAAACATGGTCTGGAGTGGACATCCAACAAACTCCAGCAGACCTGCCACAGAGGGGCCTGACTGTTTGTTAGAAGGAAAACTAACAAACAGAAAGGAATAGTATCAACATCAACAAAAAGGATGTCCACGAAGAGACTCCATCCGAAGGTCACCAACATCAAAGAAAGACCAAAGGTAGATAAATCCACGAAGATTAGGAGAAACCACTGCAAAATGTCTGAAAATTCCAAAAACCAGAATGCCTCTTCTCCAAAGGATCACAACTCCTCACCAGCATGGGAACAAAACTGGACAGAGAATGAGTCTGATGAATTGACAGAAGTAGGCTTCAGAAGGTGGGTAATAAGAAACTCCTCCAAGCTAAAGGAGCATGTTCTAACCCAATGCAAGGAAGCTCTAACCCAATGCACGGAAGTTAAGAACCTTGAGAAAAGGTTAGATGAATTGCTATCTAGAATAACCAGTTTAGAGAAGAACATAAATTACCTGATGGAGCTGAAAAACACAGCACAAGAACCTCGTGAAGCATACACAAGTATCAATAGCTGAATTGATCAAGTGGTTGAAAGTATAATGTAGATTTTATTTCAAAAATGCAGAAAAAGTAGAAAAGGAAAAATTGAAAGAAGGGAGTAAAAAAGGAAATAAAACATCATAAACATATTGTCCCTTTAATGGCTAAACCAGTGTTTAAAATGTAATGTGCATTAATTGCAATCCATATTCAATAGAGAGAATTATTTAAGGCAGATTTTTGAGGAAAATTGTGAAATTTCTTTCCCTGGATGAATATTTTTAATGTGGCATTTATAGACCCTTTAATGAAAAGCTAGCCCATTGGAGATAAAGGAGGAACCTAGAGAAATAGCCACAGGAACATCATTTGTGAGACGCACAATTCACAGAGGAACACAGAAGCCAAAGCATTTTCACTTCCCCAGAATTTCTTCTGTGAAATTACAAACTCTTTCTGATGAATAATTTTCTCCAATCCAACGATTATCTTGAGAATCCTTTGTGAAAGAGCCTGCCTTTTCCTCCTAAGCAATGCCTGCAATCTAACATTTCACAAGCATCCTCTGAGACCTGTGGTTGGAAGGAATTGCTATCAAGGAGGCCCACATTAAGGTAAACTTTCTTATGGGAACAAAGAGTGAGGAGAGGACTTGATGTCATCTCTTTCAGGCCAGTGCCACAAAGATGCCCAAAGTTGGGTCTTGGCTAAAAATTGACCATCGGTCATAGTCTCCTTTAGATTAAATGAGTCAAAAGTCAAACCTGAGTAATTTTCATTGTCTCTAGAACCACACTCACAAAAATCTCATTACATGACACTGTTTGAATACAAGCACACAAGTGTTTCTCTCCCCTTTACAGTCTTAAAAGAAATTTAGTGCCTTGTATAACACCTACCTAAAGCCTCGCATCTGAAAGCCAACATCACCAAGGATTTGCCTTAATGGTTTACTTGCAGCCCTACACTTTATCCTTAATACTGTGCATTCATTTGCTCTTTTTCTTCTTCTTTGGTAAGAAAGATTTCCTAGCCTGGAAATAAGGCACTTCTCTTCAAACTCCTTGGGATTCTCTCATTTGCTGCCTTGATTCATTTCCCTTGTTCAAAGAAATCTTTTATCAAGTCTCTGCCTGTATTTTGGCTCTGATTGCTATATGGCTACATCCTGTGCTCAGCCAACCTTGTATCTATCTTTCTACCTTCATCTCTGAATGGGATAAGCCTGGAGGCTGCTCAATGACCCAGAAGACCTCTAACCCCTTCTGAATATAGAAGAATGAGTATAGATACCCTCTGAAGACACATTTCACTTCTGCATAACTTTAATTCTATGTCTTGATCTTTTGTATCTTAAATCTCTATTCCCTTCAGAATTATCAGATTTTCTATTTCCTCTGCCCTTTGATGACCTCCTTGAGCCTCCGGGAGACTTGTCTCAAAATTATCTCACTAATTATCTTGAAATATTTCCTGGTTAAAAATTCTCTTTCAAAAGCAAGATATTATCTTATATCACTGCATTTTGTTTTGATTTATCTGACAAAACTTTATTAAGAAATAAGTCATCAGAAAAAATATTTTATTAATACTTAAACCTACTATGCAGCTCGTTTTGCTTGCAGTTTAACCTGGACCTGTTAACTTTGAATATGAATGAATAGTTCAAGTTCAATCACTGTGTCATTAACAAGGAAAACTTCCTTGAAAATATTTTATTCTGTCTTAACTGTGTTCTCTGGAAAAAAAAAAAAAAAGGTGTATTTCCATATACAAAGCTTTTCAAATGCCCATAGGCACTCACAGTAACCGTGCAGAACCTCTTCAACTACCGTAATCTGCCTGAAAATTACAAGGTTTACTATCAAAGAGGAAAAATTGCAATTCCGCATTCAGGCAACTTGTTCTGGCAGAGTCATCTCTCATATAACTTTTTAGCTAGATGTGCCTCCATTTTGTTATGGAAGATAATGATAGTGGTTATTATTTGTATCATTTTATTAGCAATGCCTCTGAGCATCCTGTAACTCTGATTTGTTTGACAGTTGACATGGCATGTTTAAATCACAGAAAAATTGGCTGGTAGAAAATAATGCAGCTGTAACAGGGTTTGGTACATTGAATTTCACTGACATTGCTACTTATGAAAGGAGAAATAACTCTTTTTTCTCGCTTCATCACTTATGATTAGAGGGCCCAGACAGTTCAAGCAATATAGTCAGTGCTCAATATATTTTACTATTCTTTCTCAAAGATAAATTCCTGTCCTGCTGGATCTATTTCTATTGTTTAAAGGGGAAGTGCTGTCATGTTCCGTAAGTATATGAAGGTAGACGAATGACAATGTTCATAACTTGGAGAAGAGACTGACCACATCCTATCACATCTCTCTGAATGGATGCAGGGACTGTTCCAGTGACTTAAGGAAAACAGACTTTGTCCAGGAATAATGAATGACTTTTCTTGTCTCCACTGCAGCAGTGAGTGAAGGACCAACTACCCAACAACCACCTATGCTGCCCCCATCTCAGCCTGAGCATTCTAGCAGCGAGGAGGCACCAAGCAGAACCATCCCCACAGCTTGTGTTCGACCAACTCACCCACTCCGCAGCTTTGCTAATCCTTTGCTACCTCCACCAATGAGTGCAATAGAACCGAAAGTCCCTTACACACCACTTTTGTCTCAGCCAGGTAAAGTACTCGGTTGTTCACCTTTAAAATTCTTATTATTATTGGTGCCTCTATTTAAGTGCATGAGGGTGCTTGAGAAGGCCTAGATGTCATATATCTTTTCAATGCTGATTACATGCCCAGTGTGCTCATTTTTGTTACTGATGCTTGTAGTGTAACCCTTAATGACCCACCTCCCAAGCAACTGATTGGTTGTAGGTGCTTTTCATCCCTTTGGAAAGTTGTCCATGAATCCTGGAAGCCAGTCCACCATTTTTAATATGTGCTATAGGTGTGCTTGCTAGAGAATACTGGAAACATTCCTGATTCCCTAACTTCATTCTGCCACATGAGTTCTAAGCGTTAAAGCTAGACTGCAAGACTAGATGTAAAGGTATAAAAATCTGCAAAACCACTTTTTAGAGAAATCATAATTCTAATTTGTGCCTTTCAATAGTCATTTCTCAGGAGTTCTTATTTATTTCAGAGTACTAGGCCACAAAGAAATGTCAGAACCAGTGCTGAGTACAACTCAATTAATTTTAAAAATGAAGAAACTAACTAACATTTAGATTGATAGAAAGTAAAATATCTATGGTCCTTTCTAAGAAAATAAGATGGCAGGGATGGGAAATGAGTCCCAGATTCCCAATGCAGTATTGATTTTATTACTTCAGCTAGTATCCAAATTGAGCTCCATTTTGTTTTTGTTAGGGGTTGAGGAGGGGGAGAGAGAGGCAGAGACAGAAGAAGGAGGAGAGGAGGAAAAGAAGAAACAGGTAGAATGAATGTCAATAGATAAGTAGAGATAAATAAATAATAGTACTTAAAATTATTTGGAATATTAGAATAATTCTTAAAATCCTCAGTATATCAGGCATAAGATAGTAAATTTCAGTAATCTGAGATGGCCTCCTTGATGAGCATAGGCAGCTGAACTGGGCTAATCTACATTATGCTCATACATTTGACTAACTTTTCTGTTACTCAGACCTACAATAATTTATTTTGTTGCATTAGTACACAAGCCACATAATGACTGTAAAAGCTAGAAAAATGATTGTCTATGAAGTATAAATATTAATTATTTTATATTAAGAATGTATCTAGTTGCTGGGATGACATTAGTTGATTTGTACACATCACCTCTGATGTTCTCAACATTCACATGATGTGCAATATGGATACTCAGCTACACAGCCCCTGGGAGGTGGAGTGGAGCATGAAAGCATGTAGGATTCCATTGGTTGGGACGCACGTTCCACTATGGAGTCTTCCTTGACACATAGGCTCAGCACAGGTCATGATTTCATTCTACAAGAGATGGCCCTTCTCACCCCAGCAAAGCCCACATAGGGACTTAAAAAGGTCTGTATTGCCCAAGCCCCTCTCTCCACCCTCCCATGCATACACACTCCACACATACTACATTATGGGGAGGATCTGCTACTTTATATGGCCCCAAAACTATGAAGTCTTTGATAATTGAGGCAGAGACAACTTGAAGCAAGAGCATTCATTTACTGAAATTCTGGTGCCAAGAGTATGCTTCCTTGTGATTTCTGGCTGCATCTGTTTCCCCACTGCAAGCACAACCCAAGGAAACAGACCTTGAAGGAAACTAGTATTCAAGATAGTTGACAGCTTAATTGCAACTGCTAACAATAACGAGCCTTTAATGAATCTTTAATGCACCTGCCTATAGGACAGGCATGATTCTGAAGGCTTATTACATCTCATTTGATCCTCTAAACAACTTTGTAAGGTAGCTATTAGTCTTAACCCCATTTTAGGCACAAGGAAACTGAGACACAGAGAATTTAAGTAGCTTAAGTCTACATAGCAAGTAAGTAATGCATCTTTTCCCTGCTCTCCTGGGTTCTCAAATTTTAGAAACTCATTTGTGCCTCTTAGTTTATGTCTAACTTGTTTAATAAGAAAAAGACTAATAAAACGACTAAATCATTAAATTAAATCATTAGAAGAAAAAATCAAGAAACATCTTAAAATAATTCTGAATTGAAGAATATATTTTCTCATCAGATTTCTTCACTCACATTTTAATGAGGAAAGGTAAGAACCTTAACTATTCTATAGTAAAGAGGACCAATTTGGTAGCAACAAAAAGTAAAGTGCGGTTGCAGCAGTTTATGCTGTTAATGTTCTCTCGGCTTGCAAGTAAAAACTTTAAGAATAAAACAGCTGAAAATGACATTCTGGAGGCTACTATGGCTACTTTAAATGAAAAATTTTACTGCACCAGTGATGTTTAGTTTGGGACACAAGATTTGGAAGTCAACCTATGCTCTGAAGTGCTACAATAACAAAAGGATACAATTTTTTTTAAAGAAGATTTGATGATAGATGGAGCAGAGAATTGGCATTTTTTTACTAGTTATTTTCTTCTAATTACATTAATGCCAAAGCTGCCTAAAACAAAATCTGATACAATGCAGTATAAGTGGATTATGTCCTTCATAGAAGGGAAGTAGAATCAGTTGTGCTGTTTCTATACTAATTTCATCAAATAATAAGCATGTCTGAAGAGCCAAAGAACCATTCTCTGATCTAATGGCAACAAGGCAAAATCTCGTTTTCTTTTATTTTCATGGTACCCTTAAGATCCTTCTTTTGTTTTTATTTGAACTATTTCTCTCAAGCCATCTCTTCTTTCCTATTTTCAGATATCTCTGGCTAGAGTTTTTGTTTGATTTTATGTTTTTTATAGCTCCTCTTTAAATGCCACTCCTCTCCCCCACTCAACTGGAGGCATGCCCCGCCATCCCTTTGGAATTATTAAATTCTTTTTCCTTTAGTGTTTCTCTCTTATTGTCTTCCTATGATTCCTGTTCATTTCATAATGTCTTACCTCATGATTTTCAAATAAGTTCTTCCTGCATTGCTCCTGACACATGGTAAATAGCATGCTTTTTAAAAGGGCTAATGTTTACTTATTCTGATAGAAAAAGAAAATTAGCAGACTGACAAATGTATTAGCTGTGACATTAACTACATGCTTCTTAGACTTAAAGATGAAATACTTAGAGCTTTCAACAAGTTTTGATTCTAAGAAAATCATTACTTTCCTCAAACCGATTGATGAAGTAAAGTCATTCTCTTGTCAGCTTTTAAAAAAAATACCTCAAATAATTTTACTGTGGATTTCACAAGAAAGGACTGCATAATTAGTGATGAATTTATCTTTACTTACCGCAAGTAATTACTTTAGAATATGGTAATGTGAGGCATTGCTCTAATTTTTAAAAATGAGAAACTTCTACTTTGAAAGCTTTGAGATTAGGATCAAGGAAGAAGCTCTTTCCCCACTCAAATTCCTGTGTGTGAATTTGCTTTTTTTTTTAAATTTATTTTATTTTAGGTTCTGGGGTACATGTGCAGGACATGCAGGTTTGTTACATAGTTAAACGTGTGCCATGGTGGTTTGCTGCACCTATCAACCCATCACCTAGGTATTAAGCCCTGCATGCATTAGCTATTTTTCCTGATGCTCTTCCTCCCTTCACCCTACCCACCGACAGGCCCCAGTGTGTGCAGTGTGTGTTGTTCCCCTCCCTGTGGATTTTCATGGGCAACACCATCAGTCTGTGCCTTAGTTTGCCTCCCAATAAGGCACACAGAGCTATGCTTGCAGCAGTTTTACATGGGTCTAGGGCAAAACATATTATGCAGTAATAGTCTCCATGGGGTTGCAGAGCATTTTGCAATATTTTTATAGTAAGCAGTAATTAGAAAGCCATTCTGTTGTCATAACGACTGAAATTCTGCTTACCTGAAAACAGATTCATTTCCTCAATTTTTTTTCCTTCCACCTGCTGAGTTAAAAATGTAACTTACAAGACTCTAGGGTATTTATGGTGTTTCTTACAATTTCATCATCACCTTATAATAGAGTGCTTCCATTTTTTAATGCTTTATCTATAGACGTGAATAACCGTGAGATCTTTACACATTTCATGGAGGCTGCAATCACTACACTTTGCAAATCACAAATGTAGACATGTAAGTGATTTGGCTTAGTCCACTTTCAGGTTAAATAGAAAATGTTTGATAGAGTATTGGGCTTATTGCATTATAGATCTGACATAAATTTTACAAAGGGCTAAGATAGGGTGTGTGGGTTTTTTTCTTCTTTACTAGTTAAAATTCCTTTTAGTGATCAGCTGCACTTTAAATGAACCTGGGTTAGGAGACCATTTGTCTTCTAGAGATGTAATTCTAAAGGGAAAGAAAATGTGATCTCTTAAATAGTGACCTTTATATCATAATACTCTTTTATAACATTAGCCCCCTGGACCTCTTGCAACTTTGTAAAACTCCATAAGCACTATATTTTCCTTCATTTACACATTGCATTTTACACACATATATTTATAAAAGCAAAACTCCAGAGCATTCTGATCTTTTCCATCTTCAAGGGATCAATATGTCAGTGGACATGACAAGTCCAAAACTCACTTCATTGTACTGCGAAATTGAGTTTGATTTTCCCCGTGCAAATTGTGGCATGTGCTTTAATTTGTCTGAGGACTGAAGACAAGGAGGGGGTGGAGGTGGCTGACAGTGGACAGAAAAGGCGTTTGATTTATATTTTATGGATGGTTGGGAAATCATGTATTCCTGCTGTAACCTGATCTTTTTGGCAGGCCTTATTTCAGTAAATCTGCTATCACACAAAACTGCCAATAAATTACTATAATGCCTTAATACAATTGCTTTCCCTGAGCCACTCGTAGGCTGCCATTGCGGGTATTCATCAAGAATACCACACGAGTGTTCCATTCTGCTAAAATCAGCCACAGGCAGAGGTCATGGGAGATCAGACATCCTTTAGAAGGTGACACAAGACGGTCATTTTAAAGGCCAGTCAGATAGAATAAATCATTGGCACAGCTAAATAGGAGAGATGTGTTGATTTGCTGTTATTGAAGCCAATACTTCCAATCAATGCTATAGTGGAAAATTACACTACATCTAAGTTTCATCTCATGTGAAAGCTATCGGTGTGGCTTTTTGGTAGACATCTCCTTGAAATTTTCCTGTCCTCACTCCTAACAGAATTAGGATGATTCGATTTGGTCTGGTCATCCTAAATTACCATTGGTAAAATGTAATTAAGGCAAATTTAAGTATCAATAATGTTTGTGACTCTGGAACCTACCTACTTGGTGGCTTAATAAATTAGTATTTCCTCTGAGGTTTTAGAAAATAAATATTAATAGGAAAAGAGCTCTGTTAATTGCCCAGAGGAGAGAGAAATAATTTCTAGAAGAGTCATTATGCGTAAGCCAAGTAATTGATGCCCTATTTATAAGTGACAAAGCAGAGGCCTAAAAACGTTAGGTAGCTTGCCCAAGGTCAACAATTGAGGTGACAGCCAAATGTAAAGAATTTGGAGAAATGTTTTTTTGTTTGTTTGTTTGTTTTTTTAACTAACTTTGAAGATAGATAGATACAGGATTTTACCTAGCTTTTTTGTGATGTTAACAGTTATTCTTAGAGTGACTTTTTCCCCCCCTAAAAGGGGTCTTCTAGGATCCTAATAATTAAATATTCTTTAGGAGGAACTACATCAGGTAAGTTAAGTCATTTAGCTGAGTGTTTGAGTAAACATTTTATTCCTTTATGTTGGCATTACATGGAGAGGAGATGTTATAGCAAAAGTAGCAACTAGCTGGAGCACTCTGGAATAGCTGCCATCTGCCTTTAACTCACCTGTCCAGTCTGTCTGTCGAGTATCCCTCTACGGTAAGGCAGGAAGCCAGGGGCTGACATCTGACATCTGTTGCTTTCACCATCACTGATGGCCAAGGCTTTAGAAACAAATTAAAAAAAATAAAGATGAGCATAAAGAAGTATATAAGAGTTTAAGGCATATGGGACTATTGCTTACAATGGGAGTTGGAGAGTGTGAGCATAGGTCAATGAGAGCAAAAACTGAACAGCTAGTATTTTTCAGAATTGCAAAAACTTCTTTTGGGGAGGGAGTGAATGACTGCAGTAGAAAAGTTTGAGTCCCTTTTATGAAAGGTTTGCCCAATTACAAGAAAATATCGCATCAAGAATTGTTAGACCATATATGAAACTGAAGTTAACTATATCAACCTAATACAATGAAACTCTGAGGTTAAAGTATTCAGTGGCCATCCAGATAATCGTAAGAGAAAGTGAAAAATAATAAATAATCTATTTTCAGAACTTTGTAACCTAATAGAAGACATAATTCGAAACATGTAAGCTACAAAGAATGTACTTGGATTATACTGCAGAGTGGGTGGCCGCATGAGTGACAGAAGGAATGGTGAAGGAAAGGTGGGCAGTAGGTTGTTTTCAAGGCAGTAAATATTCCTTTTACATTTCTTATACACTTGATGGGTCACATGGTTAACTACTGCTGTATAGATTTTGTTGTTGTTTTGAAATATTTTGAAAATAAAGCATCTTTTTAAAAATCAACTTACATAAAAGTAGTAAGGCTTATGCTTTATACTTTGTCACCTTTTTATAGTTTACAGAGGACATTTCCAAATAAATGTATATCTACCTGAGAAGTAACTTTGACCAGCATTACCAATACAGAGGTCAATATTTAGAGAGGTTGAATACCTTTCAACTTTTCCAGGGTCATGTGTCATTATTCTTAGGACCTTCATCGCCACCCTTACATATGGTGGAC
This sequence comes from Homo sapiens, assembly GCF_000001405.40. NCBI lineage: Eukaryota > Metazoa > Chordata > Mammalia > Primates > Hominidae > Homo > Homo sapiens. The sequence goes on from NC_000018.10 coordinate 53,506,184, forward strand.
ACTCGAATGTTGGTTGAATTGGTCAGAATATAATAAAATAATTAAGGTGAGAGCCAGAATTTGACTGCAGTTCTTCAATTTCAAGTCTAATAATGAGTTTAGACAAACCAGAGCGACTTGTAAGTTTGTAAGGATTAGATATCAGGTACTAGAAAAAGATAAAGGCAGATACGATGAAATAACTTACAAATTCATGAACATTTTATAACATGTTTAATAATCTGAACTATAAATAGCATCTTATGCTAAAGCCAAATAAATTGCATAGAGTGGAAAAGACACTTGAAACCACAGCCCTCGGAAATTCAGTGGTTTATTTTTATGAAAATAAACAGACATGCAGTGGCCTCCATAAAGAAGAATAGAATTCTCTGCGTTCATAGAAAGGAGGCGGCCAGGTGTGGTGGCTCACACCCGTAATCCTAGCACTTTGGGAGGCTGAGGCAGGCAGATTGCCTGAGCTCAGGAGTTCAAGACCAGCCTGGGCAACACAGTGAAACCCCATCTCTACTAAAATACAAAAAATTAGCCGGGCATGGTGTCATGTGCCTGTAATCCCAGATACTCAGGAGGCTGAGACAGGAGAATCACTTGAACCTGGAAGGCAGAGGTTGCAGTGAGCCAAGATCATGCCACTGCACTCCAGTCTGGGTGACAGAGCAAGAGACTCCATCTCAAAAAAAAAAAAAAAAGGAGGAGGAGTGTGGATCAGTGGAAGTCAGTCAGAGTCCTAAGGACTAGTCTCTCCATCATGCCAACTACAGAACTGATTTTGCTCTTCTGAATCTCACTTTTCTCATCTGTGAAATCAGATGGTCTTTCCTCTTTAAGGAGGAAGGAAACATGAAATTCTACAACCTCAGTTACTACAGAAATAAGGGTAGATATTCTCCCTTTCTCCTTTTTGTTTTGTGAAAGACTATGAGTAAGAGAAAGGTTTTAATTTGAATATTTTGAGACTCATGGTATACATTTTAAGTATTCTAAGTAGTTGACAGATCTTTAAAGTTCTTCAATGAGCATCAAGTTACAGTTGCTTTCTTTGGCAGCAAGGGGAAATGTTGAAATAAAGTGCTCACATAAACCTCTGTGCTAATGGACTATTGAAAATGTGTTATGAAAAATCTAACATACTGAAAGCAAACAAAAAGTCTCTGTCATATTAAACAGTTTAACCATCAGCAACCCATTTCTAAAGACATGACCTGTAGTACCTAAAAGACTGTGTGAAAAACAGTCTTCGATTTGAATGTTTATAACTCTTATCTTACTAGCAGGGACTTATAAACGAATTCAGGTGTCATGTTAAACATCTTGTGTGTGTTCCAGCATTGACTTTCATCTTAGGCTTGCAGGAGGACTGATGTTCTTATCTCCAGGATCTCCTTATTTACCGGAATATCAAGGCTCTTAGAGGAGAATGCCTTTATCTTCTGTGGTAAAAGGGATTCTACAAGCTTTTTTGGTGGAAAACAATGATAAGTAAGCCCTATTCATGAAACCGTATGCCTCTCATTTTGAAATGAATAATTGCACGTACAGACTTATAAGAATAATGGCACTTATAGTGACTGCTATTTTTAATGTCTTTTTCAAAGTGCTCTTCTAAAACATTCTTCTTTGACATTTCTGATTCTTTTACCCAGCAAGTTTTATGTATTTTTCTACTTCTGAGGTCACCTGAGTAAGAATTTTCTAACAGATACCACTTTTTTTTTTTTTTTTTTTGAGATGGAGTCTCGCTCTGTCACCCAGGCTGGAGTGCAGTGGTGCAATCTCTGCTCACTGCAAGCTCTGCCTCCGGGGTTCACGCCATTCTCCTGCCTCAGCCTCCCGAGAGCTGGGACTACAGGTGCCTGCCACCATGCCCAGCTAATTTTTTTGTATTTTTAGTAGAGACGGGGTTTCACCGTGTTAGCCAGGATGGTCTCGATCTCCTGACCTTGTGATCTGCCCGCCTCGGCCTCCCAAAGTGCTGGGATTATAGGCATGAGCCACCGCGCCCGGCCGAGACCACATTTTTTTTTTAGACAGTCTCTTACTCTGTCACCCAAGCTAGAGTGCACTGGCTCAATCACAGCTCACTGAAGCTTTGTCCTCCCTGGCAGTGGTTATCCTCTCGCCTCAGCTTCCCGAGTAACTGGGACTACAGGTGAGCGACACCTCACATGACTAATTTTTGTATTTTTTGCAGAGATGAGGTTTTGTTATGTTGTCCAGGCTAGTCTCAAACTCCTGGGCTCAAGTGATTTACCCACCTCACTCTCCCAAAGTGTTAGGATTACAGGCATGAGCCACCGCGCCTGGCTAAGACTGCATTTTTTTAAACCACGATAACCTAGTATGCTCTTGAGTCAAAAATTAACTTTTAGTTTTAGTGTTGCACTTAAAAGAATATAGTTATTTGTTTATTTTCTTTTTGGCTACGCTCTGAGTGGTACCTCATTTAATAGAAACAGGCTGCTTGGTGCACACATGCCTGAGCTGACACATTAGAATACTTGATAAATCTGGAGAACACATTGCCTGATAAGTTGAGCCCAGTGAAGTTTTCATCACCTTATGAGAGACGGTGAGCAGAGGAGGTCAGAGCAACTGCTCAGAGCTGTCTGAATGTCGTTCCCTTAGTCTAGAGAAAAGAGTGGCCTCTTTCATTTGGACAGGGCTTGCTCTCAAATCATAAATGCATTTGACAGCCAGGAAGCCATTTTCACTGTCTCACTTAAATGGTCACACTGCAAATGATCCCACCACATTACAATAGCATAGGTCCCCAGTAAGGCCTTATATCCAACAGGTGTACAGATTAGGTGGTCACTACCTGGCTTCTTCTCTCTCATAAATACTGCATCTCCCGACTTGCTCCTCACAATGGACCAATTTAATGTGATTAAAGCTTCTGGAGTTTCCTAGATCCCAGCTCTAACTTCCAGTTTAGCTATTCCCTGCACCAACTCTCTGCAAAGAGAATCAATAGCAAAGCAAAGAGGGATAAGAAGTGAGGAGTAGGAAGTAAGCTATTGAAAGTGAGAAAAAGAGGTTATTTCTCATTGAGCACATGTAAAACACTACTGATGTCTTTGTCTTCTCACTGAAAAATTATACATTTTGTTTTTATTAAGCATGTTACAGTATGGGTAATGTCCAAACATGATTTGAGATATAAATATTAACTTCTAAGCTCAGCATGGACATGGCTATCAAAAGCAGTGTTTCTCAAGTTTTGTGTGCCTGGGAATCACCTGCAGACATTATGAAAAGGCAGATTTAGATTTAGCAGATCTAGAGTAGAGCCTGAGGTTCTGAATTGCTAAAAAGATTCTAGGCTTTGCTGAGGCTGACCCTCTGCAGATTAGATTATGAGGTAGTTTGGATTCTGAACAGATTGGATGCTCTTAACCTGGGGTTCATGGAAGAACTTGTGGGTTTGGTAACTCACTTGAAATTAAATGGATATTTCTCTGTGGGTGTGCCTGTACATTTTTCTAGCAAGTGAGTTCATAGCATTCATTAGTGTCTCAGATGATTTATTATCTATAACAGGTTAAGAACCACTTGACCTGCTGTTTTGTCATCACCCTCAATGTAGCTCACCTGTGGAACATAAACCAATGTCTGTTTTTCTTTTGTTTTGTTTTTCAAGATCAGTTCCAAAACCTTGTACTGAAACAACTTTTCTGAATCTGAGGCCAAAAGCTGAGTACTTGTGCTCTACTCAAATGAAACTCTGCAAAATTTATTCATTTTCATAGAAACACCTGAGGCTTTGTACATTTTTCAACATGTGATGAGGGAATTAGTTAAATTAGTATTTATAAATTTGTCCTTCTTCTGCAACAATCTCTTATTTTTATTGCCTAAATGAACATCAGTAGATCAGAGCCACCGCTGTCCATGGTATATTTTCTCCAAAAGATGAGCTCCTGTGGGGAAATGGGATGTGTTGTCCTTCGAAAGGGGTCATCCTAACCTGTCCTTAGCACCCCTCAAATGGTACACTGAAAAGCACTTCCTGCAGAGACTTAATGACTGCACACACATTTCCCCAAACATGACTCATCATTTAATAAAAATTTCCCATTCAGCCAGTGTCACCCCAGGTTGAACAGCATATGCAATCTGTAAAATAAATTTTAATATTTTTTCTGGTGGTAGGGAGGGTAAGTGAACCCATGAATAGTGATAATGTTAAATCACAGAGAATGGGAGCTAATTAAAATAAATGTTTATTTGAGCAGTCAAGTAGTTCAATTGTATTCTATAATTTCCCAGAAGATATTATCATAAATCATTTATTGGGTATAAAAATGCCGTAAGTCAAAAGAGTATGTGTTTGAGGAGGCTGGAGAGTGCTAAAGAGGAGTTGAGAGAAAGGAGTGCAAAAACAAGAAAGATATTTGAAGACAGTTTTCATCCTTTGCATTATTCAAACTAAAGAAGCTCTAAAGCCAAGTACTATGTTTGTTTGTTATTCTTTCCCAAGACTTCAGAAATTTTCACTTCCATGATACTGTGATGTTTATATTTATATTGGCTCCCCATTTAAACTGGAACAAGTCTAGCTGGGATCAACATAGAGAAGACAGCAGGAATATGCTGATTTACTCCTATTCCTTCTTCTACCTCTTTCATCACCCCCTGCCACCATCCCACACTATAACTGCTGTCTCTTCTCCTTCTCTCTCACTCTCACATACTCCTCTCCTCTAAGATTGTCTGGCCTGTTCTGTTTCACTCAGCTTTCTATCAAAGCCTACCTTGTAGAATTTTTTATTTTTGTCTAAGAAAGAACATATAATTTAAGCCTTACTTATCAGCTGAGTGGCTTTGAACAAGTCCTTTATCTTCTTTGAATTTTGATTTTCCTATCCCCAAGGCATGAGCAATAAGGTATGCTTTAAAAGTTCTATTTTAAAGAACAGATAAGAAAATGTAGGAAAAGGTGTTTTACTGCAGTTTATGTACCTGTAGGTGGGACAAAGGTTACCTGTTTTACCCTTTCTCTCTCTAGGTTTTAGTTTATAAAAATAATAGAGACAAGGTACTGATAACCAGATGGGAATCAAGGATTGCAGAGAATCACAGCCTTTTGGAAAATGGTAGGAGTAGGTGGAAGACCTCTTCCTCCCTCCCTGACTACAAGAATATTCGACCTGCTAGCTGTAAACTGAAACAGACAGTAGAGAGGTGGCTGGGACTTCTGGAGTCAGGCCTTGCCTTGTTTGCTTAACAAATGCAATTCTTGTGAAGTTTAAGGATAGAGGGTCGAGAAGCCAAGATGGCCGAATAGGAACAGCTCCGGTCTACAGCTCCCAGCGTGAGAGACGCAGAAGACGGGTGATTTCTGCATTTCCATCTGAGGTACCGGGTTCATCTCACTAGGGAGTGCCAGACAGTGGGCGCAGGTCAGTGGGTGCGCACACCGTGCGCGAGCCAAAGCAGGGCGAGGCATTGCGTCACTTGGGAAGCGCAAGGGGTCAGGGAGTTCCCTTTCCGAGTCAAAGAAAGGGGTGACGGACGGCACCTGGAAAATCGGGTCACTCCCACCCGAATACTGGGCTTTTCCAATGGGCTTAAAAAACGGCGCATCATGAGAGTATATCCTGCACCTGGCTCGGAGGGTCCTACGCCCACGGAGTCTCGCTGATTGCTAGCACAGCACGGCAGTCTGAGATCAAACTGCAAGGCGGCAGCGAGGCTGGGGGAGGGGCGCCCGCCATTGCCCAGGCTTGCTTAGGTAAACAAAGCAACCAGGAAGCTCGAACTGGGTGGAGCCCACCACAGCTCAAGGAAGCCTGCCTGCCTCTGTAGGCTCCACCTCTGGGGGCAGGGCACAGACAAAAAGACAGCAGTAACCTCTGCAGACTTAAATGTCCCTGTCTGACAGCTTTGAAGAGAGCAGTGGTTCTCCCAGCACGCAGCTGGAGATCTGAGAACGTGCAGACTGCCTCCTCAAGTGGATCCCTGACCCCGACCCCCCAGCAGCCTAACTGGGAGGCACCCCCCAGCAGGAGCACACTGACACCTCACACGGCAGGGTATTCCAACAGACCTGCAGCTGAGGGTCCTGTCTGTTAGAAGGAAAACTAACAAACAGAAAGGACATCCACACCAAAAACCCATCTGTACATCACCATCATCAAAGACCAAAAGTAGATAAAACCACAAAGATGGGGAAAAAACAGAACAGAAAAACTGGAAACTCTAAAAAGCAGAGCGCCTCTCCTCCTCCAAAAGAACGCAGTTCCTCACCAGCAACGGAACAAAGCTGGATGGAGAATGACTTTGACGAGCTGAGAGAAGAAGGCTTCAGACGATCAAATTACTCTGAGCTACGGGAGGACATTCAAACCAAAGGCAAAGAAGTTGAAAACTTTGAAAAAAATTTAGAAGAATGTATAACTAGAATAACCAATACAGAGAAGTGCTTAAAGGAGCTGATGGAGCTGAAAACCAAGGCTGGAGAACTATGTGAAGAATGCAGAAGCCTCAGGAGCCGATGCAATCAACTGGAAGAAAGGGTATCAGCAATGGAAGATGAAATGAATGAAATGAAGCAAGAAGGGAAGTTTAGAGAAAAAAGAATAAAAAGAAATTAGCAAAGCCTCCAAGAAATATGGGACTATGTGAAAAGACCAAATCTACGTCTGATTGGTGTACCTGAAAGTGATGGGGAGAATGGAACCAAGTTGGGAAACACTCTGCAGGATATTATCCAGGAGAACTTCCCCAATCTATCAAGGCAGGCCAACATTCAGATTCAGGAAATACAGAGAATGCCACAAAGATACTCCTCGAGAAGAGCAACTCCAAGACACATAATTGTCAGATTCACCAAAGTTGAAATGAAGGAAAAAATGTTAAGGGAAGCCAGAGAGAAAGGTCGGGTTACCCTCAAAGGGAAGCCCATCGGACTAACAGCTGATCTCTCAGCAGAAATCCTACAAGCCAAAAGAGAGTGGGGGCCAATATTCAACATTCTTAAAGAAAAGAATTTTCAACCCAGAATTTCATATCCAGCCAAACTAAGTTTCATAAGTGAAGGAGAAATAAAATACTTTACAGACAAGCAAATGCTGAGAGATTTTTGTCACCACCAGGCCTGCCCTAAAAGAACTCCTGAAGGAAGCGCTAAACATGGAAAGGAACAACCGGTACCAGCCGCTGCAAAATTATGCCAAAATGTAAAGACCATCAAAGACTAGGAAGAAACTGCATCAACTAACGAGCAAAATCACCAGCTAACATCATAATGACAGGATCAAATTCACACATAACAATATTAACTTTAAATGTGAATGGACTAAATGCTCCAATTAAAAGACACAGAATGGCAAATTGGATAAAGAGTCAAGAACCATCAGTGTGCTGTATTCAGGAAACCCATCTCACATGCAGAGACACACATAGGCTCAAAATAAAAGGATGGAGGAAGATCTACCAAGCAAATGGAAAACAAAAAAAGGCAGGGGTTGCAATCCTAGTTCTGATAAAACAGACTTTAAACCAACAAAGATCAAAAGAGACAAAGAAGACCATTACATAATGCTAAAGGGATCAATTCAACAAGAAGAGCTAACTATCCTAAATATATATGCACCCAATACAGGAGCACCAAGATTCATAAAGCAAGTCCTGAGTGACCTACAAAGCGACTTAGACTCCCACACATTAATAATGGGAGACTTTAACACCCCACTGTCAACATTAGACAGATCAACAAGACAGAAAGTCAACAAGGATACCCAGGAATTGAACTCAGCTCTGCACCAAGCAGACCTAATACACATCTACAGAACTCTCCACCCCAAATCAACAGAATATACATTTTTTTCAGCACCACACCTATTCCAAAATTGACCACATACTTGGAAGTAAAGCTCTCCTCAGCAAATGTAAAAGAACAGAGATTATAACAGTGCAGACCACAGTGCAATCAAACTAGAACTCAGGATTAAGAATCTCACTCAAAACCGCTCAACTACATGGAAACTGAACAACCTGCTCCTGAATGACTATTGGGTACATAACGAAATGAAGGCAGAAATAAAGATGTTCTTTGAAACCAACGAGAACAAAGACACAACATACCAGAATCTCTGGGACGCATTCAAAGCAGTGTGTAGAGGGAAATTTATAGCACTAAATGCCCACAAGAGAGAGCAGGAAAGATCCAAAATTGACACCCTAACATCACCATTAAAAGAACTAGAAAAGCAAGAGCAAACACATTCAAAAGCTAGCAGAAGGCAAGAAATAAATCAGAGCAGAACTGAAGGAAACAGAGACACAAAAAAAACCCTTCAAAAAATTAATGAATACAGGAGCTGGTTTTTTGAAAGGATCAACAAAATTGATAGACCACTAGCATGACTAATAAAGAAAAAAAGAGAGAAGAATCAAATAGACACAATAAAAAATGATAAGGGGGATATCACCACTGATCCCACAGAAATACAAACTACCATCAGAGAATACTACAAACACCTCTACACAAATAAACTAGAAAATCTAGAAGAAATGGATAAATTCCTCAACACATACACTCTCCCAAGACTAAACCAGGAAGAAATTGAATCTCTGAATAGACCAATAACAGGATCTGAAATTGTGGCAATAATCAATAGCTTACCAACCAAAAAGAGTCCAGGACCAGATGGATTCACAGCCGAATTCTACCAGAGGTACAAGGAGGAACTAGTACCATTCCTTCTGAAACTATTCCAATCAATAGAAAAAGAGGGAATCCTCCCTAACTCATTTTATGAGGCCAGCATCATTCTGATACCAAAGCCAGGCAGAGACACAACAAAAAAAGAGAATTTTAGACCAATATCCTTGATGAACATTGATGCAAAAATCCTCAATAAAATACTGGCAACACGAATCCAGCAGCACATCAAAAAGCTTATCCACCATGATCAAGTGGGCTTCATCCCTGGGATGCAAGGCTGGTTCAATATACGCAAATCAATAAATGTAATCCAGCATATAAACAGAGCCAATGACAAAAACCACATGATTATCTCAATAGATGCAGAAAAAGCCTTTGACAAAATTCAACAACCTTCATGCTAAAAACTCTCAATAAATTAGGTATTGATGGGACGTATTTCCAAATAATAAGAGCTATCTATGAGAAACCCACAGCCAATATCATACTGAATGGGCAAAAACTGGAAGCATTCCCTTTGAAAACTGGTACAAGACAGGGATGCCCTCTCTCACCACTCGTATTCAACATAGTGTTGGAAGTTCTGGCCAGGGCAATTAGGCAGGAGAAGGAAATAAAGGGTATTCAATTAGGAAAAGAGGAAGTCAAATTGTCCCTGTTTGCAGACGACATGATTGTATATCTAGAAAACCCCATTGTCTCAGCCCAAAATCTCCTTAAGCTGATAAGCAACTTCAGCAAAGTCTCAGGATACAAAATCAATGTACAAAAATCACAAGCATTCTTATACACCAACAACAGACAAACAGAGAGCCAAATCATGAGTGAACTCCCATTCACAATTGCTTCAAAGAGAATAAAATACCCAGGAATCCAACTTACAAGGGATGTGAAGGACCTCTTCAAGGAGAACTACAAATCACTGCTCAAGGAAATAAAAGAGGATACAAACAAATGGAAGAACATTCCATGCTCATGGGTAGGAAGAATCAATATCGTCAAAATGGCCATACTGCCCAAGGTAATTTACAGATTCAATGCCATCCTCATCAAGCTACCAATGCCTTTCTTCACAGAATTGGAAAAATCTACTTTAAAGTTCATATGGAACCAAAAAAGAGCCCGCATCACCGAGTCAATCCTAAGCCAAAAGAACAAAGCTGGAGGCATCACACTACCTGACTTCAAACTATACTACAAGGCTACAGTAACCAAAACAGGATGGTACTGGTACCAAAACAGAGATATAGATCAATGGAACAGAACAGAGCCCTCAGAAATAATGCCGCATATCTACAACTATGTGATCTTTGACAAACCTGAGAAAAACAAGCAATGGGGAAAGGATTCCCTATTTAATAAATGGTGATGGGAAAACTGGCTAGCCATATGTAGAAAGCTGAAACTGGATCCCTTCCTTACACCTTATACAAAAATCAATTCAAGATGGATTAAAGACTTAAACGTTAGACCTAAAACCATAAAAACCCTAGAAGAAAACCTAGGCATTACCATTCAGGACATAGGCATGGGCAAGGACTTCATGTCGAAAACACCAAAAGCAATGGCAACAAAAGACAAAATTGACAAATGGGATCTAATTAAACTAAAGAGCTTCTGCACAGCAAAAGAAACTACCATCAGAGTGAACAGGCAACCTACAAAATGGGAGAAAATTTTTGCAACCTACTCATCTGACAAAGGGCTAATATCCAGAATCTACAATGAATGCAAACAAATTTACAAGAAAATAAACAACCCCATCAAAAAGTGGGCAAAGCACATGAACAGACACTTCTCAAAAGAACACATTTATGCAGCCAAAAAACACATGAAAAAATGCTTATCATCACTGGCCATCAGAGAAATGCAAATCAAAACCACAATGAGATACCATCTCACACCAGTTAGAATGGCAATCATTAAAAAGTCAGGAAACAACAGGTGCTGGAGAGGATGTGGAGAAATAGGAACACTTTGACACTGTTGGTGGGACTGTAAACTAGTTCAACCATTGTGGAAGTCAGTGTGGCGATTCCTCAGGGATCTAGAACTGGAAATACCATTTGACCCAGCCATCCCATTACTGGGTATATACCCAAAGGACTATAAATCATGCTGCTATAAAGACACATGCACACATATGTTTATTGCGGCATTATTCACAATAGCAAAGACTTGGAACCAACCCAAATGTCCAACAATGATAGACTGGATTAAGAAAATGTGGCACATATACACCATGGAATACTATGCAGCCATAAAAAATGATGAGTTCATGTCCTTTGTAGGGACATGGATGAAATTGGAAATCATCATTCTCAGTAAACTATCGCAAGAACAAAAAACCAAACACCGCATATTCTCACTCATAGGTGGGAATTGAACAATGAGAACCCATGGACACAGGAAGGGGAACATCACACTCTGGGGACTGTTGTGGGGTGGGGGGAGGCGGGAGGAATAGCATTGGGAGATATACCTAATGCTAGATGACGAGTTAGTGGGTGCAGCGCACCAGCATGGCACATGTATACATATGTAACTAACCTGCACAATGTGCACATGTACCCTAAAACTTAAAATATAATAATAATAATAATAATAATAATAATAATAAAGGATATAGGGTCTTCAATGTCAATGCCCAATGTCAAGCCCAAGCAGGTTTAAAAACTTGAGTAGTAACCATTAGTACCTTAACCCTCTCGTCTCATTTTTCACAGACAGGTGGCCCAATGAAAGCCACGTTACTTGTGACTCAGAGTAGCCCTTTCTTACAATGGGAGGAGGAGAAAGGAGCAGAGAGGGGAGCAGGGCACCTCATCAGCACGTCCCCAGTGGTCAAATAGGCTGTTTCCCTTATTTTTGAGGAGAAATAAGAAGGTTGGGAGAAGAACACAATGTTTCTCTCCCCAGAAGTGGCATTTAGAGATGTTTATCACCCTTAAAGTACAATTCACATGGTAGACTAAAATGCCTTAAGATTGTTGCAAAATTTATAGTTTGAAATTCGATCACTTATGAGGGATGCCTGAGGCTATTGTGTCTGAGTAAATGCGGCTACTCTCTTTTTGTTCAATATTTGTTGAAGATGAAAGGGTAGAGTATTACACAAAGTTTCCCATACATATCTTTTATTTCTCCCATGCCCTCAAAAGTTCCTTGCCTATCAGAAGTGTAAATGATTATGTGACACTTCTATATCTGCCCCCAGATAACCCGAGCACAGGCTAGTTACTTAATAATAAGTATATATAAGAATAATATTCTGGTTCACAGGGAAACTAGACTGAGAGAGTCCATTTCATTTTGTCTGGCATCACAGAATGGATCAGAGACAAAGCAGAGATAAGAACCCAGGCTTCTTCAAAGCCACCCTTTTTAACTTTGTTCTTAAGGGTAAAGGAATGGAAAATGAAGTAGGAAATAGGAAAAAGTGGGGAAGATGTGAGTTAATAGTGAAATCAAAACCATGCTGTGCATTGGCCTCTGATCGGACCCTGGTGAGCATTTTTAGAGCATTCCGGCTGCAGCCTAATGTTTCTCACCCCAAAAAATTATTTTACATGGGAAAACCTTCTGCAGAGAGATGCTAGCAGGAGTCTGCACCTGGCAGTCCTATGTTATGTACCTAATGAGTAAATGAAATGTTTAATAACTGTACTGTGAAAATGAAGCTTAAAACAGTAAATTCCTGCTGAGGCTGCTCTTCTGCACCTGAGGCACACTGCTAGCCCATCTCAGAACTCCAGCCCATTTTTATTTTTTCCTCTTAGTGGGTCCTGCTGAGGAGATAACACTAAAACCAAAGCGATGCTCACTTAATTAGTTGTATATCAGTGTAAGAACATTTACTTAGCACATCAACAGCCAGCGTTCCACCAAAGGGTCGCCTGAAACTTCTCCAACATGCACCCTGGATAGGGGAAATTCTGCAGTGGCTTCAGATTGAGCATTCGTAAATTTAAATTTGTCAATTAGCCATGGATCATTTAACCTCAGAAACGTAATACCACTTATTTTTAGAGTATCTGTTTGAAATACAAAAGCAGTAAAACCTTAATTGTTGGTATAGCTTTTCACTAATAATTTTAAGAAAAAAATGACAGAACATTTATTTTTTACAAAGCACTAGTTTAAAAATAAATTATTGCAATTTGAGTTAAGCTTTAACTGGCTGGAGATTCCTTTAGATTCAATGGATCAACTAATTCTTCCTAAGTCTTAAGGAGAGGCAAGAAATCCAAATGTAAAGTTAAGTACAGGTAGAATAGCTATATTATCCTTGTGTAATTTTCATAGCTAATAACTTAAAAATTAAATTTCTTACATTTATAGACATACAGACCCCAAAATCCAAAGAAATTAGACTATCGAGCCAAGGTCACAAAACTAGGTCCTAGGCTAAAATGCTTCCTCAGTATCTGGAATATTTATTTGAGCACTCATTAAATACTTGGAATTTGTTGTATAGATCACACACAGTTTACCATCATTGAAAATAATAATATAGATCAGCTTAGACTTCAGAGTGGGAAACGTTTCATCTTTCAAGGCCTATTTGCAAAATGAAAGGTGATTTTTCCAACTTCTCAGAGCCCCAGTACTGATCCTCTTCTCACTAGCTCCCACCCAGCCTTGAGCACCTCCCTCTCCCAAAATGAAGTGTTTTTTTTTTTTTTCTTAACCACATTTTGAAAATCACTTTTCATATTTGGGAGAGATCCCAGAGGATGCTGACTCCAAAATTGAGATTATATTCACAGCTAGGAGCCATGGAAGAGATTCTTTTCATTTTTATTTTTCCTTTGACATATGTTTCTGATAGAGCTCATAGAAGTTCTATGAAAAGCGTTCATGTTTAGGCCAATTGTCAGTGTTAAGTGTTGTTCTCCAAAGTGAATAAATAAATATGAAGCTTTCCCTGTAGCTACAATCTAGATCTACCAACATAGAAAAAGTCATCAAAAATTCTATCATTTCTTAACATTAAAGAACAGCATTTTGATATCCCAAAGTAATAAGTTTTCAGTTTGTTTTTGTGTTTTTTCCTAATTGCCATAATTTCTATTAGTTCTTGGGTAGGATGGTGGCTCTCTTCTAGTGAGTCAAAACACTGCCAGGCACACCAAAGGCTCTCATGCCTCAAGGCAGTCCATTATCAAGAAGGAGTCACCAAGAATGGGTGAGGCCAGGGATGCATAAACAAAGTGGGCTTTAAACCTGGCTTCTGAAAGCAGTGTAGAAAAAAACCAGTTAGTCTCCCAGGAAGTGTGGCAATGCCCCATTTCAATGTCAAAGTCTTTGAAATCTAGGAAAGCTTCATGTGGAGGAACAGATCGGGGTTAGGACAAATAGTCACCCGACAGTAGCAGTGAGTCCATCAGCAGATGAGAGGCCGCAATATGGTGTCCAGTATCCTGTTTGGATTGGACCATGCTCCAGGCCTCACTCACTAATCCACATGCCTGACGACTACATTGCCTTCTCATTTGAACATAGTCCATACCAGCAGACTGATTATTTTACATAAAAATGTTCATTTGGTTTAAATGGTGTAGAAGATGGATTGAGAATTTAGACACACGGGAAGGTGACTGATCAGGTCTCAGGCACAAGGCAAAAGATTAAAGGCATGTCTCATAGCCCCATGAAAGAACAGAGATGCAGACCAGAAAATCAAGAAAGAAGCCATTTATGCTTGGTGAGCTACAAGCACTTAAGGAAAAAGCACTGCTTGGTGAGCTTGTAGGGACCCAGATTTCACCAGTGCACAAGCTTGAAATATTGAACACTGAATCTACACACAAAAAAATACAAACATCATGTAGGGATGGAGTTATGCACAACCAGGAACATGGTGTCTGCCTTCCGACAAAGGATGTTTTCATGGAAATCTTGGTTTTCAAACATTTATTCTCCTTAACTAAAGGGCAATTTTGAGACCACGGTTGCCTAATTAGTTGTTAATAAATCTCTCCTGGGAAATTTCCCTCATACTCTTTCCTTTAATTGCCCTTTCAAGGAAAGGAAAGAAAAATATTAAGTCCATAGAGTGTCCCAGTCAAATCCTGCTGACAATGAACTCTGGGAGGCTGTTTAAATTCTTTGTCTCTACTAGAATTTTATTGAAATTAATTCTACCTTCCTCTCCAGGGACCTCAGTATTCTCTTCAACAAAATAAAAGGAAGGTCATTCGATGAGCTCCAAGAGCCCTCGTGGTTCCGGCATTCTAAATTTCTGTGATTCTATGAATATTACTTGAGAAAAGGCAGTCATCTGAGGTTTAAACACTCTGTGCGGTCTTTGAGCCGAGACAATGTCTTCGATTCCTTTTGTGAGGCTCACCATGTCTTGTACATTTGTTCAACACTCACTACATTTTGAATGCATAACTGTTGCCTGGGCACTAGAGAAAATCAATTATTATAATGAACTTTCTAATGAGTTTGAGGGATGGTAGTCTTTAGGCATGTCCATGCCCTATTGTAATAATAGGAGTGTGGTTGATGCAGTATGATACACATAGTGCAATACACCTAAGTGTTTGGAATTCTGGGAAGAAAATACACCATAAGAATGTATTTCCATCGTGATAACCGTAGGCTATGCCTAGGAATTCATTTCTCTGCATGTAAAACTGACAAAAAAATTGTGATGAAGTACATGTTATGGAATTATATACAGCAGTCTGGTATATTCTAAAAGAATCTTTACTTTTACGTTTCTCAGAACAGGCACTGGCCCTACTTGAATTTCCTACATAGTAAGCTATGCCTATGCCTTTCACTTTTTATTGTAGATACCTATGTTAGAGTGAATTGATTTTCAGAATGTGTTAAACATGCATTGCATGTGTTTGGTTACATATTAAATTGTAAATTTTCAGAAGTAGCTGAGTTTCTTAAACATGTTTTTAAAATGAAAAATTTAAAATAAAATAAATAGGTTTTATGATCAAGGGAGTCTAGGTCAAAAATAAGTAAAAGATGTGTGAAAAAATATATAGAGACAAATGTTCATTTTTAAAATGCAGCTGCTGTGTTAAACATAGGAATGGATAAGAGCTAGCTTCTGGAAGGTGCTAAGAGGAACAGCTTTTGTGACTATTATAAATTCAGGTTTAATCAGAACATTGCAAGCATTCTTGAAGGGCATACAAACAAAATTCAGGCAACACAATTCAAAATATGTGGTTGGTAGATACCTTCTCAAGGTTTATGCCTCTTTTTAAAGCTTTTAAACTTTGTGAATTCCTTTTTAAACTTTATGCCTTCACTTAAATAATAACCTAAAATATCAACATGAATTTCACATGCTGGGTTATCTGTACCTGCCAAGGTTTTTAGTGGCTGCCTTCCTATTTGGGTTTACAATTAAGATGGCACCAGGAACACCGTGGTTATAGTCAGAAGTTTGGAAAAAAAAAAAAATGGTGTGTGAGTAGAGGTAAACCATTCACATCCAGTGAAGACCACCTGACATTACAGTCCCTGTATGAATGAGGTCTTGGCTATTGTTGAGTTAGAAAATCTTCACAGAATTAGAAAAAACTACTTTGAATTTCATGTGGAACCAAAAAAGGGCCCCTATAGCCAAGACAGTCCTAAGCAAAAAGAACAAAGCTGAAAGCATCATGCTACCTGACTGCAAACTATACTACAAGGCTACAGGAACCAAATCAGCATGGTACTGGTACCAAAACAGAGATATAAACCAATGGAACAGAACAGAGGTCTCAGAAACATCACCACACGCCTACAACCATCTGATCTTTGACAAACCTGGCAAAAAGCACCGGGGAAAGGATTCCCTATTTAATAAATGGTGTTGGGAAAACTGGCTAGCCATATGCAGAAAACTGAAACCTGACCCCTCCTTACACCTTATACAAAAATTAACTCAAGATGGATTAAAGACTTAAATGTAAGACCTAAAACCATACAAACCCTGGAAGAAAACCTAGGCAATACCATTCAGGACATAGGCATGGGCAAAGACTTCATGATTAAACCACCAAAAGCAATGGCAATGAAAGCCAAAATTGACAAATGGGATCAAATTAAACTAAAGAGCTTCTTCATAGCAAAAGAAACTATCATCAGAGTGAACAGGCAACCTACAGAATGGGAGAAATTTTTTGCAGTCTATCCATCTGACAAAGGGCTAATATCCAGAATCTACAAAGAACTTAAACAAATTTACATGAAGAAAATACACAACCCCTTCAAAAAGTGGGCAAAAGATATGAACAGGCACTTCTCAAGAGAAGACATTTATGCAGCCAACAAACATGAAAAAAGGCTCATCATCACTGGTCATTAGAGAAATGCAAATCAAAATCACCACGAGATACCATCTCACACCAGTTAGAATGGCAATCATTAAAAAGTCAGGAAACAACAGATGCTAGAGAGGATGTGGAGAAATAGGAACACTTTTACACTGTTGGTGGGAGTGTAAATTAGTTCAGCCATTGTGGAAGACAATATGGTGATTCTTCAAGGATCTAGAATTAGAAATGCCATTTGACCCAGCAATCCTATTACTGGATTCAAAGGATTATAAATCATTCTACTATAAAGACACAAGCACACGTATGTTTACTGTAGCACTATTCACAATAGCAAAGACTTGGAACCAACCCAAATGCCCATCAGTGACAGACTGGATAAAGAAAATGTGGCACATATATACCATGGAATACAATGCAGCCATAAAAAAGGATGAGTTCATGTCCTTTGCAGGGACATGGATGAGACTGGAAACCATCATTCTCAGCAAACTAACACAAGAACAGAAAACCAAACACCGCATGTTCTCACACATAAGTGGGAGTTGAACAATGAGAACACATGGACACAGGGAGGAGAACATCACACACTGGGCCTGTCGGAGGGCAGGGGGCTGGGGGAGGGATAGCATTAGGACAACTAATGTAGATGACAGGTTGATGGGTGCAGCAAACCACCATGGCACATGTATACCTATGTAACAAACCTGTACATTCTGCACATGTACTCCAGAACTTAAAGTATAAGAAAAAAAGAAGGGGGAGGCAGGAGAAAAGTATTAAATTTATATTAATAAAAAAAGAAATAGTAAAATTATGATTATCAGAGGCTGTGAGGTGAGAGGATTGAGGAGATGTTGGTCAAATGGTACAAAATTTCAGTTAGGAGGAATAAGTTCAAGAGATCCATTGTATATTGTGGCGATTAGAGTTAATAACTATATATTGTATACTTAAAAATTGCTGAGAATTGATTGAAAGTGTTCTCAACACAAAACATAAGTATGTGAAGTAATACATATGTTAAATAGCTTGATTTAGCCATTCTATAATGTATATACATGTATCAAAACATTGTTTTACACCATAAATATATACTGTTTTTCCTTGTTGATTAAAAATAAATAAGTTGTTGAATACATGAAAAAAAAAAGAAGGAAAATGTTCATAATGAAAACTGGGCGTGAATGACAAACCCAAAATGATTGTAATATAGCAACAGTATCAAATTCATATGGCAATTTTGTTTTAGCCCAACAATCTCATTTATCATATTAAATTAATGATTATAATCCAAATTGTACTATTTTCACAGGGCTTTCTGTTTAACTTTAAATGTGTTTTTGTTTTATAGCATAGGATAAGCACTATAAGGTATGATGCTTATAGCAAGTTTTATGTTTGTATATATTTTAAAAATATTGGAATACAGTATTTTAAGTCAATGCTGGAGTTGATTAAAGTCTTACTTTTCCCTTTAAATTCCAAGTCAGTTATGAGAAACAATGATAAAAAATGAGCTTTTATCCCCAGATTTATAGTCCTTGAACTAGATTTCATGTTCATTTATGTTGCTTCCTCAAAAAACCCATGTAAATTGGATGGGCTAGGTCAACAAGCTAGTGATCATCCTTCATTTGCTCCATGGAGTTAGACAGATGTTGGTGCAAAATTCTTACACCGCCTGCCCATTCCTAAATGTGCGAACTTAGGCAAGTTACTTATTTTGTCTTTATTTTGGCACCCCCATGTGTGAACTGAGAATAAGAATACTTAGCAGGATTGTTTTGAAAAATAGTAATATATAATATTATAATAAGATGATTAATATTAAAAATAGCCCTCATTTGGATAACTATTTTTGGCACCAACTCCCAGGCAACTTTTCACAGCGTGAATAGTTAGCCCTCTTTGAACAAGTTACTAAGTACCAGCCACTTTAAATACATAATCTCATTTAATCCTAACAAATTACTAGTATCATTCCTATTTTGCAGATGAAAAACAGGCCAAGACAGGTTCAGTTGACAAGAAATTGCACAGATCTAAATGCAGACTGGACTTACTGTGAATCCCAAATTTTCCCTCACCATGTTATTTTGTCCAAAATGAAACTAAAATGCTTGGCATAGATCTAGACTTTTGTAGGCACTCAGTAAATATTATTTCCACTCTGAAGAAAACGATTCATGTTTCATTTCGCTTCTCATCAGAGGTACCACGAACAGAATATCACCCTTTTATGATAAATCACTCAAATTGCAGACTTTTGATCCCTAAAGTTCAAGAGTGAAAAGGTATAAATATGAAGAAATTTCATGTTAGGTCACGGGATGGGAAAAGATGCTTATGTCAGGATTTACCATTTCTAGTGACCAGCACCTAGCAGATTGCTGGTTTATTAGATTTATTTATTATTTTCATTGTTTCCTTCAGATGACTCCTATTTATCTGATTGTAGAGTAACCTCTGAGCTTTATTAGCTAGAATTTTATTTTCCACAGTGTAGTCCAAACAACTTTTTCTTGGCAAAATATAGGACCCCATTAGAACCATTAGGACTAAAATGTCAGCTCTCGTGATAGAAGAGAACTGAGGCCACTGTCTTTTCATGGCTTTCTCTAATACCTTTTCTGCTGAAGTCTTGGTTACAATGCTAAGAATGACATAACCCCTTAGTTATGTGAGGTGTACTAGCTGATTCAATAAGCCTTTATGAAAGTTTTATTTTCAGCTATAAGGTCAAGGTTGTATTAGCGCTACAAGCTAAGCAGAATTTATAAGGCAAATTTCAGTTTCCTCCAAAAAGGCAGCCCTTATGTATAGGAAACAGAAATATCATCTATTTGATACTCAGCAGTGCCTCTTATGATTTTCATGAGCAGCAGAATGTCTTTTATTGACAAAAGCCATACAAAAAAAACCAGAATTACATCTTTTTTGTTCCAAAATAGAATTAAAAATGATAGTCTATCAAATTAGCCATGATGGATTTTATTTTATTCTAACGTCTTATGCTCATTTGTAGACCAGAGCAACCATCTCTTCTAACTCTGCAAATCTTCCTTGGTTCTGCTATGCAACTTAGGGCTCATTTAGGTGGTTTAGCACAGGGCTTTCTGGCCCTAAGCCGAGACTGGCACCAAATAAGCTTGCCTGACACTTTATAGGGTGTGATGAACAGTCCAGAGCTCCCAGGCAACTTTCCACAGCATGATTTGGAATCTACTTGCAATTACATATGGCTAGTGGAGCTGCATCTGGAGAAGCCTAATCAGAATTTGTCTTCCATTTAGTAGAAATAAAACGAGCCCACTCATTGTGTCAGAATTCATCTTTACACTACAGAATGAGCAATAACCTAAAATCAATGCCAATCTCCTGGATATGGTGTATATACTTGAGAAAGTGTTCTGCAGAATGTTTTCTACATTACTTTCATCACTGTGTTTTCTATTTCAGGGCCCACTCTTCCTAAGACCCATGTGAAAACAGCCTCCCTTGGGTTGGCTGGAAAAGCAAGATCCCCTTTGCTTCCTGTGTCTGTGCCAACAGCCCCTGAAGTGTCTGAGGAGAGCCACAAACCAACAGAGGATTCAGCCAATGTAAGGGCATCTTTAAAATTCATGCTTCATCAAGGGACAGATTGACTGGCGCTGTGTAATAGCATCTAAACCAATGAGTACTGTCCATTCACCCCAGGCCACCCCAGGCCATTGTTGTTCTTATTGTTGTTTGTTCCTTTGTTTTCCTGCACTTAAATATGAAGAGGAAATAAAAGCTATGAAAAAAAATTATGTCAGAGACTTAGTTATGTAAAAAAGTTGATTCTTAAGGACAGTCTTAGAAATATGACCAGATAGCTACAGAACGTGTGGTTTTACACCCATATATGTACATAATATATACATATACACATGATATACACATGGATACGTGTGTGTGTGTGTGTGTGTGTGTGTGTGTGTGTGTGTGTGTGTGTTTCTTTTCAATAGGAAGAAATACCTTGGCATTCTTGGAAATAAATAAGACTATATAACTCTTCTTCTTCCTTTTTTTTTTTTATTTTAAGAGACAGGGTCTTGCTGTGTTGCCCAGGCTAGAGGGTAGTGGCTATTCACAGGCACAATCATAGTGCACTACAGCCCTGAACTTCTTAGCTCAAGCAGTTCTCCTGCCTCAATTTCCCAAGTAGCTAAGACTATAGGTGCACATTACTACACCAACTTATACAGTTATTCTCTAAAATTAAAAAAATATAGTGACAAAAAGCTATATTATGAGGGCTTTTTGAAGTTATTATATATGTTACTTCTGAAATCATAAAATACCAGAAATATAGATTTGTGAAGGAAAAAATATAAAATAAAAAAATTGAAGGAGTTTAAGTAATACAAAAAGGAAATGACGTAATTAAAAAATAAGAAGGGAAAGTTTATTTAAAGACAGAAAAAGTTTTACTAAGGAAATAAGCTAAAAAGGGTTCCAGTTAGAAAACTCAGAAGGAACATCAATAGAGAAGGGGAAAAAATCAGAATTTTAAGAAAAAAAAAACATTTATCCCGAAAATGCACTGTAAAGGAGATTCAAAAAGACATTGCCTAAAGGCAGCTATTTATAGTACACTTTAGTTGTTTCTGAATATAATTCAAGAGAAAACATTTAAAAGAAGCCTAAGGAATTAACATATCAGATATCTTGAAAAATCAGGGCACTAGAAGAGAAAAAAGATGAAAAGAGCAGATTAAAATTCTATTTTGTTATTACATTTGGATCTTTTTTAAGCATAAATTATGAAATGAAAATAATCTGCCACCCTTCCAACTAGCTTGTTTTCTTCATGCATAAATGAAGTCTTCTGCAAAATTTGCAAATAATGTATTGAAAAATAAATTTATAACAATATCAAGGAATAAGTAGGTAACATTTAATCAGTCCTCTGTAAGCAATGCAACTACCAGGTCTTTTATAAAAATTATACTTTCTTTTGATATCTGGTTGTTGTTAAAAACAAAGAATCATTTCATTTGAATGAAGAACAATACATTTTTCTTGACTTAATTTTTTTTCAATACTACAAACAATAAAATATTTTAACGACATAGAGATCAGGGAAGCTGAGTATGTGAGTGTGTCTGTAAATGTTTTGGCAGATGAGTGTTATCTACTTAACATGCTTTTCAAAGATTCAAATTTATAAGACTCTAATGCACTTTTGTGCGTTAGAATATAGCTGTTTATGTCAATATCTGTTTAGGATCAAGGTTTGTGGCCACATCTCAAATAAAATCAAACTTCTAAGTTTACATGAAGTATCTCATCTCATAAAGAATCATGTCAGGTAGGCCTATTTTTACATTAAAGGTTGACTCTAAAGAATGGCAGCCAAATTAAAATATTAAACTTTATTAATATTAAAAGCAGTAAGAAACACATATTAAAGGAAATAAAGAGGACAAATAGTGTAGACCAACATTTGCCTATGAAAACATAATGTGTAATTTTAAATTGACTAGAAGCTACATTAAAAGATGTAAAAATAAATAGGTGAAGTTAATACCTTTTATCTAACCCAATATTTCCAAAATATTATCATCTCAACATGCAATAAATATTTAAAATTGTCAATAATGTATTTTACTTTTTTTGTACTGTTCCAAAACTGGTACGTATTTTTTCATGTAAAACACATTTCAGGTGAGACTAGGCACATTTTAAGAATATAATAGTTACATGTGGCTAGTGGTTGCCGTATTATACAATGAAATCTAGACAGTTTGAGAACGACAACCAGACAATGAAAACAACATTTTGGAAATGAGTTGCCTAGTAATCCCCTCACTTCAACTTCTCTCTCTCTCTCTCTCTCTCTCTCTCTCTCTCTCACACACACACACACACACACACACACACACACACACACACACACATTGTATGTATATAAACAGGCTTTTAGCCAAATTGGAAACTTTTCAGTCCTCTATTAAGCCCTGAAGATTGGGTAGTGTATGCCCGAATCATTCACTGACATGCTGAGATTTCTATAGGAAGCTCATACATTAATACCATACATTTTGAGCTGTTTTTTCAATGGCTGGAGTAGCTTTGTGCCTACCTCCCACCCATGCAAATTCTATCAATGCTCTCTTGAGATCAAGGGTACTTATTTGGCAAGATTAGATATACATCTCTGATCATAGTGCTAAGGAATGTGTCTTGGCCTATGCAGAGCTAGAAATCATGGCTCAGGCCTCATTGGTTCAATCATTTAATCAATGGAATGCGCTAGCCAAGAATAATAAGTAGAACATCTGTATAAGTCAACTAATATGTTCAAGAAAGGAAAAAAAGAAAACTAACATCTACTGAACACTTACCACTAGGCAGCCCTGACTTGTTGAATCCTCCTAACTCCTCAAAAGACAAACTTGTTATTCTCATTTCACAAATAAGAAGACTAACTCAAATAAAATGTGCAAGTATATAAAAGGACTGGGATTCAAATCAGTTTCACATCTTATTTCCCCATCTGGCTAACTATCAAAACTACCTGGGAATTTTTCTTTTAATTAGGATGTCTAGGTTCTTCCCATACCTTCTGAAACAGAATTCCTAAGCCTAGCGACCTGGTATTTGTGGTAACTAGTAATTCTATTACTTACTGACATGATAATAGTGACTTATAGTGAGTGAGTTTACAGAGTGAATTAGTGACAGTTCACTAGGCATTCTGGAGTTCAACCTCTTCTTTTATCCACCATTCAAATTGTCCCAAAAAGGATTGACTGTGGTTTGGGGCATGAATTTTGTTTCCACACACAAACTAAAGTCATAATCTCCAGACGTTTCATTGGCCAAGGCAAAGCCCGCTGAGTTCTCACATACAAAAAAAAATGTATCTATGTCATGATACAGAGAAAAAATATTCTGTTCATATCTTGGTTAACCTAGTAAGAGGAACAGGAGCTAATGTATTGAATATCTACCATATGCCAGACCCTATCATGGGTACTAAACATGTTACAGGAGGCTCAGAATAGCCTATGAAATAGATGTCATTATCATTTTATAGATGAAGAAAATTACGTATCAGAGAGGTGCACTCACTTGTCTAAGACCACACAGCTAATAATTGGGAGAACTTGATTTGAAACCCAATCTTTTTGACTCTGAAACATCTTCCTTGTCACAGGTGGAGATGGAGTGGGTGAAACAATATGCAATCTCTTATTATCCCCTTTTATTACCAGCATCTTCATTCAGTGAGTATATTCCAAGGACAGCCCTGGCTGTGGTCTCCTAGGTCAGACTTGGGAATACGTAGCACCCCAACTAGCTGTGGCCCCGGCCTTCATAAAAGAAATGGATCAATATTTGTTACTAACTCTTGGCTCTCATTCTCTTTATAGGTGTATGAACAGGATGATCTGAGTGAACAAATGGCAAGTTTGGAAGGACTCATGAAGCAGCTTAATGCCATCACAGGCTCAGCCTTTTAACATGTATTTCTGAATGGATGAGGTGAATTTTCCGGGAACTTTGCAGCATACCAATTACCCATAAACAGCACACCTGTGTCCAAGAACTCTAACCAGTGTACAGGTCACCCATCAGGACCACTCAGTTAAGGAAGATCCTGAAGCAGTTCAGAAGGAATAAGCATTCCTTCTTTCACAGGCATCAGGAATTGTCAAATGATGATTATGAGTTCCCTAAACAAAAGCAAAGATGCATTTTCACTGCAATGTCAAAGTTTAAGCTGCTAGAATAGTCATGGGCCTTTGTCACTGCAGTGACCACACTGTCATAACTAATACCTATGTTTTCCTTTGTCAAGGCCTGTTGTTTAATGTGTAGGTCTAGTCTTACAAAATGCAAGTGCATTATTTAAGCCTGTACCATGCCATGGCAAACCAGTGCAAGCTCACTATTTTGTTTTCAACTTAAACATACAAAGCACCCATGGGAATCTCTCATGCCATAGCACCAAAGGATTGGATGTTTTCCTTACAGCACAAAAAGTAAATAGTAAACAAACAAAAGGCAGAGAATGCTTATGTTTGTAACTCAGTCATTCATCTTGCACAAGTGGTGGATATTAGTGAGTGGCTAAAAATTCACCTATTTTGGCAAGTATTTGTAAATCCACCCTTGGTTAATATGTATGTCTGGAGTCCAGGAATATAAAAATCTGCAACTAGTGGCATTCTGCCAGCAGCAGTACATTTCTGGAAAGAGGATATAATATGCAATCTTCTCAGACACATGGTAATTATATGCTTAAGCTTGTAATAGGACAGTTTTCAATTTGGGTGGCTTTTGTGCCATACCACACTGTGATACAATTTCAAAGCTTCACTAAGGCCATCTTCCTTAGGAGTTTGGCCAGAAGAATGCCCCCACCCCTTCACCCCATCCCTCCCTGAGTTCTCCTTGGCAACTAGCGTTGGGTGAAATGGCCAGCTCCACATGTCATATGGTGCACTGGCCAATGTCGCCTGTCTTCTAATCCCGTAGAAATGGCAGACTCCCTGAGAGCAGGAAGAGAAGGAAAATAAAAGGTAGCTTCTAACAGTACCTTCTCTTAAAGAATGCCAACTCTGCCTACAGGGTCAGTGTTGGCAAGCATTGGCCACCAGACCCTTTTGTTAAGGGAAACTTTTACACTACACCTGTGTCAGAGTCAGGGGGAAGCAGAGGGGCAGGTGCCACCTGACACTTCCGACATGTAAATCCAGCAGATACTTTTCAAAGCAGCATCTTAAACTGTGGACTACAGTTTTAAACTTCTATTGCCATGTTTATCTACAGCTTGGAACTAGCTAAAATTAAGAACATTTTGTATGCAGCATTTTAGTTTCTGAATTTTCAGCTGCATTTGGAGTTAATCCCTGTTTATGCAGCTGAATCGCCAAAAGGGAGCTAGTTTGCATATTTATCAGTTAGGTGACTTGAAAACCCAATGAGAGAGTTTCAGCTGAATTATTCCTTTCAGCTCTGCCTTTGATTTCAAGCTTGAGTAGGTCATAATTTTAAAAGAGCATGGAAGGGATAGGATCTTTACAACCTAATAGCTCCTTTTATTAGGTGGGTAATTATATATGAATCCCTGAATAAAATATTTTGAGCAAAATGGCACTGTAACAGAAGTAATAATTCAGTTTATTTTTTTACAGTTTTATGTCGGGAAGGAAATCTGATGTCAAAGAGAGGGCTGTTCAAATGGTTCATTAGAAAGTCCGGTCCATTTGCGAATTTGTTCCTTCAACAAGAGTGCTCATTCAAGTTACTCAGATTTTCTGGAAGTCTTTTCTGAAGAGCTATGTGATGTTGTTCTATGGGACAGACTACTCTTATTTAACATCTGGGCACTTAGGTAGACAACCTTCTACTGACCTGGAATAAAGTGTTTCCTAACATAATATTGAATTATTCAGAAATAATCCATTACTTCAAAAAAGAAAATATTCATTGGGCTAGCCCAACCTTCTCTAGGCCCTAAGAATTATTACCTCCCCTTTCTAATTCTAGCAAACATGGAACATTCTCCTTAGGCACTTGACACCCACGAGGGTAATCCTGAGTGCTCAGTTTGGAATAGGTTGCAAATCTCAGATTTTAGGGATTGAGTCACACCTTCAATCTATAGAATGAAGTTGACCAATTAAAAAAAAAAAAAAAACCTATCATTTTCACAAATTTCTAGATCCTTCTAGTCAAAAATAATTATTTAGGAAATAAAATTTTTAAAAATCCATTTAAATACATGTTATTTGTCTTCAGTGGAAGTTATATTTCTGCTGCATGCTTTTGAAACTTTCTTCATTAAATAGAATGGTTTGTCTTAGTAACTGGCAATGCCAGTATTAGCACCATGCATTTAATCTATAATACAATCAATTTAAACATCCTCAAAAAACTCTAGTATCATTTACCTGGTAGTATTAATATACAATGATGTCACCACAACTTTTGTATAACTCTGTTCCCTTTACCCTCAAATGATTCATATATGTATATAATTGCCTGCCCAAGTTTTCAGGTAACTTATTAATTTCCCAGTCTCCTGATCTCTTGACAAGAAGAAACCTGTGAATACTGCAAACTAGCCTCTGACTTCCTCCTACTGAGTCTAGTTCATGGTATCCAGGACTCTTTATGCTCATAACTCTCTCTGATTCCCATTGGGTGATACCTGACAGCCAACCAGCCGCTCTGCCACCAGAACTCATTTCTCCCTGAAAAAGAAGAAAATCATATTTGGCAGAGCATTCTCTGGTCTGCCCTGTAATGTGCTTAAATGTCAGGCAACATCCTCTTTTTTTTAAAAAAAATGGTATTTTTCTTTAAATTTCACCCTAATAAGAAAGCTATTTTCTCTCCTCTGCAGAAATTTCTGCATTTGTGAAACTTATAAAAATTTAGATAGTTCAAATGTATAAAGAATATTTGGATGATGCTCTAGCCAAAAGTTAAATATTTCGTAGTGAATCATAGCCAATAAGAAACCAGTCATACTTGCCTCTTTGAATAACAGAGATATAAGCTTCTAGAATATTTAAATAATGAAGTTTTACATTTGGGTATTATAAAATGCATACTCAATTGAATGAGCTGAAAAAAATACCAAGCCAGTGATATAAGTGGAGATTTATTAAGGATTCCTGTTGAGTATATTCTTAGTTTCCTCAAAATAGGGATTATTCAAAATTAGGTGTATGTTCAATCTCCTGCTTTGGTTCCAGCTACACAAGGAGAGCCATCCTGTGCTAGTGTGATGTTTCAGACAACATTCTGAAACTAAAATGTTTGGCACTTATTGGCTTTTCCAATAAAGAATCTCTTAAGTACAGGTATTTCTGGAAGCTGTTGGTGTCTGTGCTTGAAGATGATTGCTGATACTTATCCACCCTTTGGGTACTTCTGTTGACTTTGTTTAAATAATCATCTTATGGTTGTCCCCAAATGTAATATGGTATCTCAGATATAGCAGCTGGACTGTAATTACAACAAAAGGTTACCTCTAAAGATAACATCTTACCATTTTAGATAAAATTGTGTCCCAGAATTCTTATGGTTTCGGAATGTACATTTCTAGTCAATGAAAGAAAGAAAAATGGAAAAATTGTCTAGTTTCAGGCATGTTTAAAGAAAACAAAGTCATCTGAACTTTAAAATAGATGCAGAGCAGGGTTACTTTCCCTTTCACTCAGTTCCCTTCATGCAACCACAGGCAGTCCTGCAGGCCAGAGGTTACTATCCTAACCTGCTCATAACCATATACTATACAGAGCCCACAACTTTCTGGAGATGCAGAAGCAGCCATACACTCAAGTCTCTGTTTTTGTAAATCACATTCAAAGCAACATTTTACTCATAATTTGCATTTCTCTGGTGACTTTCAGAAATCACTTTAGTATTGTACAGAAAAGCTTTTTATTTGAGTCTAGTGTTTAAAATTAAATTGGATACTTGGGAAAATCATAGATAGGTGTTTTGTATGATATTCCATTCCAATGCAAAATATATGTACCCATGCCTCAATGTATCTTGCTATCTAAATACCTGTTGCCAAAAAGTATTGATTTGGGAAAAAAAATGCCAATTTCCTGGTCAGTGAGGTTATGTAAAAGACAAAATACCACACCCATATCAGCAAATGAATATTACTACTCATCTGGACTCTTCGTTGCCACTATTGCATAACGTTCACGTGGCAGACTTCCAGTTGCACTCTCTGAAGGACTTTTTTCTCTTACTCTCAATAGAGAGCCTTTGTACATTGTCATCCTATGATTGTTGTTGGTAGAAGAGCAAGAGCAAAACTCTGCAAGATTTAATAAACACAGGGGCATGGGCCAAGGGATCTCACTGTGTGCTGAACATGTATTTTCAGATGCAAGAAAGGAATGATGGAGAGGAGGAGAAATGCTGTTTTTTATTATTGTAGGGTAAATCTGACAATTCTGAACTTTGTGAATTGTCAGCTTGTTTGGGGGAAGGGTGGGCGGGTATGGGGTGTACTTTTTATAAGTAATATTTAATTTATTATTTAGAGTGGCTTCTTTTTGGATAATTTATGATAAAAAGGGAGATCTGGTTGGGATCTAGATACGGCTGTTAAAGCTGCAGTGTTCCATACCTCAGAGGGACCACTTTGGAAATGAATTGTCCATTGCTGAGTATGAAGAGATGTCCAGTCCAGGCAAAGCCTTCACTGAAGTTCCATCATCGCCACTTCTCCCTTTTTAGGGTCATTCAAAGAAGATAACACCAAACCTAAATAATTCTGAAAGCATTTTGCAGATCAGTGCTACTCATTCAAAGGGCTTTGCAACTCAAACAGATTGTTAGTGTGCTAGTGATAAGTTTATTTGGTAGAAATGGGTATACTACAGCTTTAACTAGCCTTAGTGAGAAAAGAAATTTTTTGTTGTTACAAAACACCTTTTTTAACAAAAAGGTATTTTGAGCCTACAAAAAGTTTCTTTAAACTGTCAGATTCTAGCATTGTTAACCAAATTAGACTAGTGATTGCAATATTTAAGTGTAAATCTTGTTCTACAAGAAAGGAAACTTGCTTACAGTTTAAAACAATGACTGTTTCTACACATGATCTTGTATACTACTACACAAGGAAAAGGGGGTTTTGTAAACACTGTAGAACAGTCTCATATTCATTTTTTTATAGAAATGTTATTCCAATGGTGCATTTTTTGTTTAATAAATAAAGTTTTGATACAAAGTTCTTTTTTCATGTTATTTATAGTAAATGCTGTGCCACACACACAACCACAACCTTGCTTGTCTGTATCCTTAAGATTCATTCTCTTAGTCCATTGGTGTTGCTGTAAAGGAATACCTGAGCTGAGTAACTTAATAAAGAGAAGAGGTTTAATTAGCTCATGGTTCTGCGAGCTGTACAATAAGTGTGGTGCCAGCATCTGTTCCTGGTGAGGCCTCAGGCGGCTTTCACTTATGGTGGAAAGGAAAGGGAAATCCACATGTGCAGAGATCGCATAACAAGAGAGGAAGCAAGAGAGAGAAGCAGGGCCGGGCGCGGTGGCTCATGCCTGTAATCCCAGCACTTTGGGAGGCCGAGGCGGGCGGATCACGAGGTCAGGAGATCGAGACCATCCCGGCTAAAAACGGTGAAACCCCGTATCTACTAAAAATACAAAAAATTAGCCGGGCGTAGTGGCGGGCGCCTGTAGTCCCAGCTACTTGGGAGGCTGAGGCAGGAGAATGGCGTGAACCCGGGAGGCGGAGCTTGCAGTGAGCCGAGATCCCGCCACTGCACTCCAGCCTGGGCGACAGAGCGAGACTCCGTCTCAAAAAAAAAAAAAAAAAAAAAAGAGAGAGAAGCAGGAGGTGCCAGACTCTTTTAAGCAACCAGTTCCCTTGGGAACTAATAGAATAAGAACTCACTCATTACCATGTGGACTGCACCATGCCATTCATGAGGAATCTACCTCCATGACCCAAACCTCTCCCATTAGGCCCCACCTTCAACACTGGGGATCAAATTTCACCATGAGATCTGGAGAGGTCAGATATCAAAACCATAGCATAAATATTACCTTTTATTAAAAGCTGTGGTAGGAGCTATCAGTTCTCTGCCTCATACTCAAGTAAGTTATTATTTTTAAAGGAAGTGGACCCTTATGCCATTTTCATGCACATTTCCAGTGTGCTTTCACTCCAGTCAATAACCATGTCTCTTTATTCCCAAGACTGCTAGAACTTGTCTTTGCCTACATGCGTGGGAGAGCTGGAAATGTCTGATTAGACCTTTCAAATAGCACCCCCTTTGCCCCGATGAAAACAATTTTGAGTTGTAACCCAATTTATCTCCAGAGTACCCCTGTAGAGCTGAGCCACAGTGACTGTGGGGCTACTGCTTCACAATAGTGCACTGTAATAGTGTACCCTTGCTTGGATTGCCTCCCTTCCCTTTTTATCTTGCCCCCTTCCCCTAATGGTTTCTCCTGGGAGCACTTCACAGTAAATCACTTTCATGCAAATCTTTATGGCAAGGTCTGTTTCTAGGGAATTCACTCAAGGCAAGATCCTTCTAGCTGTGATCCAATTTCAACACACAAACAACAAATGAATAAAATACTCTTTTCATCATCCAGATATTTCATTCTCATAGTGTCAGCAGCAGAATATGGGGTCACATAGGTGTTGAACATTATATAGCTACAATTATTGAAAGATTAAGTTTGGCATGTGTATTAGGGCCCTCTAGAGAGACAGAACCAATAGTGTGTGTGTATACACACACACATATATACTATTGGTGTATATATATTTTGGTTTGCACGATATATATATATATATATATATACACACACACACACACACACACACATATATATACATATATATATATATATATCTGAGACCTAATGTTAAATATTAACCTACACGATCACAAGGTCTCACAATAGGCTGTCTGCAAGCTTGAGGAGTAAGGAGAGCCAGTCCGAGCCTCAAAACTGAAGAACCTGGAGTCCAATGTTCGAGGACAGGAAGTGTCCAGCACTGGAGAAAGATATAGGCTGGGAGCCTAGGCCAGTCTCTCCTTTTCACGTTGGTTTTTCTTCCTGCTTTATATTCACTGGAAGCTGATTAGATTGTGCCCACCAGATTAAGGGTGGATCTGCCTTTCTCAGCCCACTGACTCAGATGTTAATCTCTTTTGGCAACATCCATACATACACACCCAGGATTAATACTTTGTATCCATCAATCCAATCAAGTTGACACTCAGTATTAACCATCACAGCATGTAATCTATTCTTTAAGAGAAAGTCACATATTGATAAAAGTTTTATTAACTCTTTTGGGAAAGCAGAAAACTTCTCAGTAAGTTATTATTTTAAAGCAATGCATTGCAGATGACAAGACAGGTGGAAACTTTAAAGTTCATCTAGCCTTTCCCATTTTCTTCAATTCATTATCATCCCATATAGAAGGGAAAAATGTATTTAAAGATCTTAAAAGATGTGGATAGATTCCAACCCCTGTTCAGTTTCGGTGGAAATGTAAACTTATGGTAGTCACTGTGGAAAACAGTATGACAGTTCCTTAAAAAATTAAACAGATTACCATAGAAGCCAATAATTCCACTTTTGCTCATATACCCAAAAGAATTGAAAGCAGAGACTCAAACAGATATTCAACCACCTATGTTCATAAGAGCATTATTTGCAATAGCCAAAAGATGGAAGCAACCCAATTGTCCACAGACAAATTGGTGGATAAACAAAATGTGGCATAATCATACAATGGAATATTCTTTAGCCTTATAAGGAAATACTATCAAATGCAAGAGCATGGATAAACCTTGGAGACATTATGCTTAGTAAAATAAGACAGTCACAAAAAGACAAATACTGTATGATTCCACTTACATGAGGAATCTAGAAAAGTCAAATTCACAGAGGTGGAAAAGAGAATGGTGGTAATCAGGGACCAGGGGTTGGGAGCAAGAGTAATCATTCAATGCATACATCATTTCAGTTTTGGAAGATGAGTGAAGTTCTAGAGATGGATGGTGGGAATCATAACATAAAAATATGAATGTACATCATTTGTACACTTAAAAATGGTTAAAATTGTAAATTTTACATTATGTATATTTTACCACAATTTTTAAAAATCTCCATATAAGAATATTCCAGCACCGTCTCTATAAATACTGATATTTCCTCTAAGGCTTCTGAACTATAAATATGCAACAGCAAACACATTAAAGTAGATTGATATGCAAGAAACAGAAGCAGAACGTATACCTCAGTCTACTTTATGTCAGATATATATTACACTATCATATTCAATTTATGTAATCAACCTACAAAGGAATGTTGTGCTGCACAAAAGGCTATCAGAGATCATTATCTGCATGGGAAACTGGTTATTTGAAAAAAAAAAAAA
Source organism: Homo sapiens (assembly GCF_000001405.40). Classification (NCBI taxonomy): domain Eukaryota; kingdom Metazoa; phylum Chordata; class Mammalia; order Primates; family Hominidae; genus Homo; species Homo sapiens. Next base: position 53,539,097 of record NC_000018.10, read on the forward strand.
TTTGGATAAATTTCCATAGTCTGGCCTAGGGAGAAGAAGGTTAAGGGAGAAACTTAACTACTCTCTTCACTGCAAATATTTTATGGGAAGGATTTTAGAGAGGTTGAAGAATAAGATTCTCTCTTACCTCAAATACTCTATGATGTTATAATGAATATAGATAGGAAGATGTATTAATATGCATGTAGGTGAACTTAATAGTTTTCTATGAAATAATCTCCTGGCTTTGTAAAATAATTGTTCTCTAAACCTACTATAACTCATTACCTTAGCCTATTATGTTTATTTCAGTTTGAAATATTTTAATCTATTCATTTACTTTCAAATGAAGGACGGTCTCTTCAGATCAATGAGTGCCAAGCCCCTGTGCAACTGGATTGCCCTCAGCCCATTATACCACCGCTATGTTCTGTGACTTCTGATTCACAGCCAGATAGCCAGTTACACAGAGACCCCAGAAAGTTTCCAGTATCTCACTGGCTTTCATCCAGTATAACTCTGCTGAACCCATAGAAGGTCCTTCCTTTCCTCTCCCTGGTATTCTGATTCGCAAATGAATTATTTTAGAAGAAGCAAATCTCAAGAATTCAGAAATGCCAGATCGCTTCCTTTATCTTTGCCTGCCTACAAGGTTGTGAAGATGAGAAATGTACTCAAGATGATTAGTTCCCTTCTTACTTCTTCTGCTTAGTTCTGTTCTGACAGTTTATAGTAACCAAATAAATGGAGAGACAGAGTAGAGGAAGAAATAAATAATTACTGAATGCCTGATGTTTTTGAGGCAGCCAGACTCCCTGCCTAGATTTTGGGGTTCATATAAACTTTGTGAACTAAAAAACCATTTTGCATAAGATCACTGGAAATATGGCAAGGATGGTTCATCCATCATGCTTTTCTCAAAGTTTCATTGGCCTGATAGTGAAACAAATCAATAAAACATTTCTGAGTTGTGTGGGAGGGCTTGCTTTTCAGGCCTGTATATTAATTTCTTCTTCTTTCTTCTTTTTCTTTTCTTCTTCCTCTTCTTCCTCTTCTTCCTCTTCCTCCTCCTCCTCCTCTTCCTCCTCCTCCTCCTCCTCCTCCTCCTTTTCTAATACATTTTTTTCTGAGTCCACTGATATTTTAATAAGAAATTGGGATATGCTGTGTTAGGGGCAACTTTACAGGCATCAACATAATTATTGAATCCTGGACTTTTTTAAAAAAAAAAAGACTTAAGTTTTATTCTACTTTCTATTTACGGAAGTCTAAATTATATCTTACCTTTTATTTCTCTAACTCTAAGCTTAATCTATTTCTTATTTACCAATTTCTTATTTTCATGTTGTTATATCATTTTTCCTTTTTTGTAACTAATTGCTCTCATCCTCCTTAACTTCTGAAATTCATAATTTGATGCAATAAATAGTTAGGCAATTATTCCTGAGATAATTGGAATGTTCTCATTAGCAGTTCAAAAGATTGCTTGAAATAAATAACAGAAGTAATTTTTCCCAGAGTCCTTTCAGATTTAATTAACATTCTTCTTTATAAATTAATAACAGTCCTTTAACTTCCCCGTCTTTGCTAATATCTATTCTGACTCTTCATATAAGTTTGACAAAATATCTGTTAGTAGAACAACTTTTCACCATCTTAACGTTTCTTAAGAATTTTATTTTTGTGCTATTCTTTGAACCTGTGGTGGATTTCCTGAGCTACTTTTTTTCTTTTTATTCAAGCTAAAACTGTTCTTTGATGTGGAACTCTCCTAACAATGGTAGCATTTCAATTTTGTAGATGTGACTCATTTGTCATGAATTATTCCTATTTCTTCCCTAAATAGGATGTTTCAGAAAACTAACTGTAACATTTACTTCATAGGGATGGTGTGGGCTTAACTTTAAATTAGACAATGTGTACAAAGCCCTTAGAATTCCTGGTTCTTGACAAAAGCCTAATGAATTCTATTTCTATTCTTTCTGTCTCTGTACTCAATCTTTTGCTTGACATTTATGAACCTTTTCATATGTTTCAAAAAGTGCGCATGGGAATTTAGCAGCTCTGTGGTTTACGTGTGTTTCTTACTTTATAGGTATAATTTCCAGCATGTATGCAGATGAAGAACGCAGATTTCCAAAGGATGGTATTATTATAAAGTGTTTTACTTTTCCTTAGTATATCCAAAAAATATTTTAGAGCCTTTTGTTCACATACAAGGCACAATGCTAAGAGTACCAATGAACCAAAGGATGAAACTATACATCTTCTATAGTTATACACTACATATATGTGTATGTATATGACCATAGTTCAAATGAGACAGTTAGATACCTTTAGTCAAGTAAAGAGTAATTTTCATCAGAGTACAGAGCATCAAATTAAATTCACAGAAGCCCCATAGGGAACATGGTATTGAGAAGAGCTTTAAATAATAAAAAAGACTAAAACTTTAGAGATGGAAATGGGCAATTCAGATGAAAGAAACTATATGAGCAAAAAGATAAAAAGGTTAGAATTTATAGACTTATATGGAAACTAAAGTATGTCGGATTTTTTTTTATTATTTGGAGAAGTGTATGGTTTGTGGGAAAAAAAGGTGGGAAACACATTTGCATAATCAATGGAGATCTTGTAATGATGGTCCAAGATATGTAATTCTGTTAGCAATAAGAAACCACTGAGCATGAAAGCTTAATTTTCTCATTCACAAATGCTTTTTGAGTATTTATTGTGTACCAGTAACTAAGCTAATGTTGGAAAAACAACAGTGATCAATGTCAATATGACCCCTGCTCTCATGGAGTTTATAATTTACTTTTGGAGACAAAGAACAAATGAACAAATCAGTGCAGTAATTATAATTGTGAAGAGTGCTATAAACTAAGGTTGTATTATAGAAACATAGTATCTTTTGAGGTTATTCACCATTATCAAAGAAGAATGGAGCCACTTCAGACCAGGCAAGACTTCCTCATGAGGGTGGCATTTATCCCCTTAAACTGAAGAGGATACAAAAGAGTCATTCATGTGAATATTGGGATGATGCAACATTCATTCCAGAGAAAGGAAAAAGCATAAGCAAATTCTTGGGTTGAGAACAACCTTGGCTTATGCAAAGAACAGACAGGCAGTTAGTGAAGTTGCCTTTCATTGACAAAGAGGAAGAAATGGAGTCAAAGAAGTTAAGGAGTTAGGATTCGGCCAGATCATGCTGTACCTGCAATGCATGCTACTGTCTATATTCCAAAGGAAATGCAAGTCATTTGGGGGCACTAAGAAGAAGAAAGTTAACATCCAATTTATGTGTATCAAGGTAAAAAAATTGTACATATACTACCTCACATGTGCAAAATCATGTAACAGCCTTTAGTGTCTGGAATGTCTTCTATTTTGCCCATGATTCCCAGCTCTTGTTGGGTACTAAGATAAATCTCAATCTTGCCAATGAAAGGAACCTATGGTTTCTTTTTCATCTACAGCAGCCTCTTTCTGCTTAGCTGAAGCTCTTTGGGATGAAGTCACGATGTTCAAAGCTCTAGCTCTCTGCCACAGCTGAATTTCTTATTGCTAAGGCCCTTCTTTTAAACAATCCTTGTTAAAGTGGCTTCTGGGCACATCTCATACACTGAGAATCTTTTCTCTCAGTGTGGGAGCATCTCATGATCTCCCTCACTTGCTTGGCCCCATCTGTGTTCTTTCCAGAGCCATTAAATATCTGTGTCTCAGCCTTGTCCTCCACCTGGTCCCCAGCTAGGTTGTCTACTATGCAATCTCTGTTTAAGGGTTAGCTTCCCCTGCCCATGATAATCCTATGGCAAATCCTAGACTCTCAGCTCAGATATCGCCTACATGCCCCACTGAGAGTGTGCCAAAATTACCAGATTCCTCAGGTGTCAACGCGGGTGCTACAGTAGCACACTCCCTCCCAAGCATACCAAACCACCACTTTCCTTTGTAGCAGTAGCTAGCTTTCTGAGATGTTTCTGTTCAAGAATTCTATAAAACACAATGGACCAATGACTTCTGGTTTTGCCTTCCCTCCCTACCTATCTACAGTTCCTATCATCCCTGGCCTCTCTGCCCTAGGGTTTCACCCTCTACAGGGTGTCAGGACCCTTCAACCTAACCTCTTAATATTTTTATTTCTCCCTGCACACTTCTGCCCTCTGAGGCACCACATATTGTCCAATACACATTTTCTGCCTCCTTCTCAGGTCTAGTAAAAATTCTTCTACATCATATTTTGTAAATCTTCACAGTGTGCCTATTATATCAGTATCTTCATTTCCTTTAAGTCATTGAAATCTTTGAGTCAATGGTTGTGAAGTCACAGGGCACCAAGATTTAAAGTAAATACAAGTTTTATGAAATTACTATTTATAAAAATATATATCAATTTTATATGTATGTATTAAAAATAAATCTGGACCTTGTGAGGAGAATAAATTCCAAATGGCACAAAAATTCAAAAAGAAAGCTACAGGAAGTATGAGATGGTGGATTCAATGGTGGTAAAGAGAAGGACATGAAATGGATCGGTATATATGAAATGTGTACATTTGAAATGTGTTTTGGAGGTAGAAACAAACATACTTGCAGGTGGATTGGATGGGAGTGAGTTTCTGGTGAACAGGCTTTTAAGTTGATAGAAACATTTTCTGTGATGCAGTAGACTGGGAGAGAAACTGTTTGGGCATGTGTGAGAGAAAAAGAGTATGATTTTTAAATATATCCAAGAGGAGATGTCAAAATGCAGTTGAATATTTAAATTGGAAACATATAAGAAAGGTCTGTACTGGAGACAAATTTAGAAATTGCCAGCACATGGCATCTAAAGCCATAGGAATGTATATGATAAAGAGAGATTTAGACCTGGAACTGAGCCTTAGGAGAATGCAGAATATAGATATTGGGTAGAGTAGGAGCAATCAGATGAACAGGCTTGGAAAGAATGGCCAACAGGAAAAAACAGGATTTTCCAACAACAGGAAAAAACAGGATTTTCCTTTAACAGGAAAAAAGCATTAGTATGGCAGAAGAAAAATGGAAAGAGTACTAGAGAGGGAACGAGAGTTCAACTGTGTTGAAAAGTTGGTAAAATGCTGGGCAAGACAAAATAAAATAATGTGGATTGAAATGGTCAACATGAAGGTCATTGCTAGGTAACTACACCCTCTGGTTTTCCTGGGATAGTCCTGGTGTGCATCATGCCCCGGTATAGTTAATGCAGTTACTTAGTAGTATATAGTATCTACTTTCACTTTCAAATGTGTCTCCTTTCAATGATAATTTATATGGTCCTACTAGTTATTGGTGACCAAAGCAAGAGTAGTGAAATGGTTTCAGTAAAGGAGTGGGGATGAAAGCCAGATTAGAGGAGATTAAAGATGGACTGGGAAGTTATAAAGTAAATACTGTGCATATTTCTGTTGGAGAAGTTTTCCTATGAAGAAGAGGAGAACAATGAGGAAGTTACTGGAAGGGTAACTGGATTTAACTGGATTTTAAAATGAACTCTAATATTGCAGTGATTCTTCTGACAACCAGGGCAATTTTTAAATCAAATTCTTTTATGTCATAAATTTTCAGAATAACTAGCATTATGGCTTAAGGAAAAAAACCTCTGGGCTAGGTGCAATAATTACACACTCCAGGAAAGTTGCATGAGTGAAGGTTGCCCTCACTTACAGCAGAAAATGGACCTTTTCAGGACCCAAAGCAGGAGGCTACTCCACACCCTCATCCAAGAGGATAGAGAAGCAGAGGCCAGGTGTTAACAGGCTGAATAATTGGCACCCAAAAATTTCAGGTCCTAATACCCGGAACTTGCAATTTGACCTTACTTGGAATGGAAAAAGAGTCTTTGCCAATATGATTAATGATTTTGAGATGGGAGATTATCTTGTATTCTCTGAATGAACCCTAAATATAATCACGAGTGTCCTTATGAGAGAGACAGAGACATATTAAACACAGACACAGAAGAGGAGGAGGCAATGTAACCACGGGGGCAGGGCTAAGAGTGATGCAGTCACATGCTAATGAGTGTTGACAGCCACCAGGAGCCAGAAAAGGCAAGGGATGGATCCTACCCTAGAGCCTCTGGACAGAGGCTGCTCCAGGTGACACGTGATTTCATCCCAGATTTCAGACTCTGGCTTCCAGAACTGTGGGATAATAATTTTCTGTTGTTTAAAAGCACTAAATTTGTGGTAATTTGTTATAGTAGCCACAGGAAACTAATATGCTGGGTTTCAGGGTCTGTGGAATTTTCCTTCTGACAAAATGACTCAGGGACATTTTTTAATAGAAATGTTTGCATTACTACAATTAATGTGAAACCCCCCTGGAGCCCTCTTTTCCTATCTTCAACCCAGCTTCCAGTAATGTCTACTACTTTCACTTTTTTATTGTTGTTTTCATTTTTAATGAGGAAATGGTTACCTCAGTAAGACACCCTACAGAATCTGGCTGCCCAGAAACAAGACTCTGAGATGACAATTCTCACCCTGCCCCATTGTGTAAAGCTCAATCCACACAAGACCACGAATTCTAAAATGTAATAAAAGAAGAGACAAAAGCCAAATTCAAAGAGGCTAGTAAAAGTATCCTTGAGCACTGTCATGATACCCAAAGGAGTGCCCATTGGAGCATTTCAGATTTCAGATGTTCAGATTTGAGATACACTACCAGTATGATGAAAATACCCCAAAACCAAAAATAATCCAAAATTGGAAACACTTCTGGTCTCAAGTATTTCAGATAAGGGATAGTCAACCTGTATTATAAGTACTTTTACCCAGAAAATAGCCATTCACATATCCTTTATGATCTAAAAATATGAGCATGAGGAGAAGACTGTACCTGTAGGGGATTCTAACAGCAATTCTACATCTGATGAGGGTTCAAGGTCCACGCTAAGACTTCTGTGAACTTCCAAAGGGGCAGAGTAGGAAATGTCATCTTAGGTCTTGTTTCTGGGCATCCAGATTCTGTTGGGTATCTTCTTGGTGCAACCATTTCCTCATTAAAACAACAACAACAAAATAGAAGTGAAAATAGCAGACTTTACTGAAGATGCAGTTGAAGACAGGAAGACAAGAGAGGGCCTACGAGGGTTTTCCATCAATTATAGCAATGCAAACATTCCTTTTTTTTTTTTTTTTTGAGATGGAGTCTCGCTATTCACAATGCTGGAGTGCAGTGGCACGATCTTGGCTCACTGCAACCTCCGTCTCCCAGGTTCAAGTGATTCTCCTGTCTCAGCCTCCCAAGTAGGTGGGACTACAGGTGCGTGCCACCATGCCCAGCTAATTTTTGTATTTTTAGTAGAGACAGGGTTTCACCATGTTGGCCAGAATAGTCTCAATCTCTTGATCTCGTGATCTGCCTGCCTTGGCCTCCCAAAAACATTCCTATTATAAAATATCCTTGAGTCAGTTTTTCAGAAGGAAAATTCCACAGACCCTGAAACCATGTAACTCCTGCCCTTACAAAATCTCTCAGACTCCCCTCTTTTTCCCTTCCTTTCATGGTGTCTCTGTTATGTTCTATTCCTTATAGAATATTTCAAAAATTAAAATTCCTCTCGTTCTTTCCCTCAGGGAAGCATGACTACCTGTTTTGTTGTTCAGCCTATTACTAACACTCAGAGCATTAGGCTCTCACCTCCTAACCCAAGAAGCTAATTAAGTTTCTTTCTCCCCAAAGAATTTCTTCTATGGAAGGAATTCTGTGGCCAGCTGGTATAATATAGTGCTTGTTCCGTGGTAATAGTAAATGAAAACTTTATCCTGGCATTCTCCTGTCACATTTATCTATCTAAACGAGAGAGAAGACCTCTAGACCAGACTTTACAGCAAGTAAAGGTATTGCTTCTTCCTCTGGATTCTCTTGGGTCAAATTGGAATGCTCCTTAGACCCAAAGTTACAAAAGGTGATTATTTTCAGACTAAATTTGTGGCCTTCCTAAATGTGCTTTGTACACTAAAGGCATTTTCAACATGACTTTGCACATGAAGGTCAAACTGAAAGAATGAAAGAATGAATTTGTTGAATTCAATTTGTTGTTGCATCATCTTTAAGAAATAATGTACCATATATGGTCTAAGGTCAAGTATTTGATAAAAATAATATAATTAACATATTTAACAATGTTGGGTGTAGCCCACTGTTCAGTTCTAGTTTATTTTCAATAGAAACTCTGACTGTAGTGTCTTCGATTTGAACTGTTTCCCCAGTGTTTCAGAGAAGTTTGACTTACTCTGATAAACAAATAATAAACACTAATAAAATTGAATATCAATATGTGCAACATTCTGTGTCAATTGCAAGTTGAACATCCCTAATCTGAAAATCCAAAATTGGAAATGCTCCAAAACCTGAACATTTCTTAATGCTGACGTAATGCTCAAAGGAAATGCAAGTCTGAGCTTTTAGAATTTTGGATTTTTGGATTAGGAATGTTCAGCTCATAGGTATAATAAAAATATTTCAATATCCAAAAAAAATCTGAAATCTGAAACATTTCTGGTCCCAAGTATTTCAGATAAGGGAGACTCAGCACATATCTCACCTACTACAGAAAACACTCCTATGTGTAAAATACTATCACTGCAAGTTTATTGGTGAAGAAACAGAAACTAGGGTACTTGTGTACCTTGCCATTAATCACCCAATTCAACCAATTCATATGCAAACAGCTGGGCCTTGAAACCACTTCTGTCAGCTCTAAAATATGTACTTTTTATCACTAAATGGAGTAACATTCAACTGCTAGTCCCTAGGAATTCCCTGAGAAAGTGTTTCTAATCTATCATGATTATAGAAACCACCTGGAACTCTTGTTAAACTATGAAACCCTAGGCCCCTATCAGAGACACTAGTTCAGTTGGTCTGGGGTGGGGTCTGAGAATCTGTAATATTTACAAGATCTCCAGTTGATCTCTATTCTCATCTCATGTATCAATAAGAACTCTGCTGTACTCAGTAGAAAATTAACTCAAACTTCTAACTTAAATTTCAGAAAGAAACTATATATTGGCTTGGGTACCTGAACAATGTAGGGATAGACTAACTTCAGACACATCTCCACTATCACCTTCCACCTGGGGGCTCCCATGAGAAAACTGCTTCCTGGATAATGCAAATAGTAGTTCCAGAATTGACTCTCCTTGGCCCTGGTTGGCTAGACATGGATCATGGGTTCTTCCCTGACCCCATCACTGTAAACAAGTGATTGCAATTTTCTTTCTTCTTAGTTTTATTCACCTACTCCTCCTCTGAAGCCCAGGGATGGTGTCAATTGCCTTGGAGCCCATGGGATGAGAATAGAGAAGGAAAAGACACTATGGATTCACTACCAGAAGGAAGGAAAGGTACATGCTAGGTAGCAAAATAACGGAAGTTTACTAGACCTCTCTAGGGTAAGATTTAAAGTTTAGAAGACTACACTATGTTAGTTACCTTAATACACCATCAGAGAATAGGGCTAAAAATGTTTCCTGATCATGGCAAAGATATTTTGATTGCTAAAGTACTTCCCTCCAAACCTATACATTCGGGCTGATTATTCTAAAAAGCCATTGGTATTATTCCCATCAGACTTATGTTTCAAGTCAATACATTTTATTATATTCTTGGATACTTACTCTTATCCAAGCAGGGGGAGGGGAAGTAAACTACAGAGTCTTCTCATTTTGCCTGATTTTCCATTGTTTAAAAATTTTTTTTTAAAAAAACAATCTTACATTTTGTGTGAGGCTTACTAGATTCATGTTAAAGTATAAAGTGAGCTTTTTGGAAATTCACATCTTAGAGGAAATTCCCACATTTTTGGAAATTCACATCTTGCTTCAGTTTCAAGAAGGAAATGTTTACTAAATTAAGATGAAATAGCTGCACTGCCTATTTGCAACTCTCAGTTAAAAATGGGTATACTTTATCACTGAATATTTCCTAAAATAAAACTTTATAACCATCTGGATTCAGTGCTTTCTTGCTGATATTTCTTGTAGATAAATGGCTTCTTAATGACTCTTTTGATCCCAAAGGATGTATTAAACTCTAAAATTATGTGTTTAAGTAACAACCCAAAAAGAGCCAATTTGATCTGCAAGCTTCTTTACCTATCACTGCATTTCAAAATGTTAAGAATATCAGAGAATTTTTCTCAGAAGTTCTTTGCCCTGAGAAAAATTACAGCCAATAGCATTGTCTCTTATTATTAATATGATTAGATATAATGATATGCACCGTTAGTCTCCTTTGTTGTTCTATTCTTTTTGAAACAACTGATCACCCCATCTGTCCTTTCTCTTCAACTCTGTGTTGCATCTACAGAGGCACATTGGACACTGAGGGAATATTAATATTCACTTATTGAGGACAGCAAATTATCAATTAACGTTTTTCTTCAAGTCTTGCAATAAAATCAGATCTAGAATAAAAACAAAGTGTTCTGGAAACAATCTCCAGATTTTTCATAGAGGAGAACATCTTACATTAATCCTTTTTACAAATATATTTTTATATAAATATGTAATTAAATACAGATAAGTGTTATTTAAAGTATAGTAACTAAGACTATGCTACAAATGCGAATGTGAATGTATGTATCTATGAATATGCAGAATGCCCCAGTTATACTATTTTCTTCTCTAGCTTATACTTTAATGCTAACACTGATGAGGGAGTGAATTAGGGAGATTATTTCAGATAATTATTTCGAACACAGATGAACCTCAGAGTTTAAGATACTAAAAAACAGAGCCCCTGAACACCAGATTCTTCTACTTTTGAATCTATGAAAGTGTTCATGGTGCAGAAGACTCATTCCATACTTTTGAAATCTCTTTCATCTTGGCTTTTTCTGTCATGGACAAATACTGCACCTTAGTCCAGAATTATGCTAAGAATTTTTAAATCTAAAATATGAAGGTAAAAAAAAATAAAAAAGATCCTTAAATGTGAGACTTAAAGAGCAATAAAATGAAATAAAATGGAAGTGAGCTTGGGCTTTTCTAGACCAACCTTCCAGAATACCCAGAGAGATTTGAGCTGAAATCTAAGGCCTCCAACAGTGTAAGGGGATCTCTTTTAGTTTTCAGGAATTAAAACAAAGCTTGGACAGTGATGGGAAATTTATTGGTTCACACGATCAGTCTTCAACAACATTAGAAAGCTCATATGCAAACCAGGGACACTGGTACAAAAAAGACTCCCCAGATTTACTGTTCTGACAAGATTGGAATATGCCTGCAGCCAGTGTGTATAGAACTCTGACAGACGGAATACTATGCAGCCATAAAAAGGAATGAATTAACAGCATTTGCAGTGACCTGGATGAGATTGGAGACTATTATTCTAAGTGATGTACCTCAGGAACGGAAAACCAAACATCGTATGTTCTCACTGATATGTGGGAGCTAACCTATGAGTATGAAAAGGCATAAGAATGATACAATGGACTTTGGGGACTTGGGAGGAAGAGTGAGAGGGAGGCAAGGGATAAAAGACTACGAATATGGTGCAGTGTATACCGCTCGGGCGATGGGTGCACCAAAATCTCACAAATCGCCACTAAAGAACTTACTCAAGTAACCAAATACCACCTGTACCCCAATAACTTATGGAAAAATAAATTAAAAAACACAAAAACAAAACAAAAAAAGTGACAATAAAAGTAATGCAAATAGAAAAACAACACAGCATACATCTGTTTACACAGCATTTACATCGTATTATGTGTTGTAGGTAATCTGGAGATATTTTAAAGCATATGGGAGGATGTGCCTAGGTTATATGCAAATACTGCACCATTTTACATAGAGGACTTGAGCATTCATAATTTTGGTATTTGCAGCGGTCCTGGAACCAATTCCATGTGGATACCTAGGACAACTGTTCTCATCATTTCAACCCCATGAGCAGTTTCACTTGTTAGTATCTCTTTGAGAATTCAGTGAGAAAGTATTTATTGATTATTCACTATTTGCTTGATCACCTGAGACAGACACTGCCTTTAAGCTTCCGTTTACTGAGTTTGGGCCCAGACTTACAGAGTCAAACCGGGCTTTGCAGAGAGTATTATATGTAAGCTGAGACCTGTAAGATGAGTTCCATGTTAAACACAGCATTTCTTACACACAGGATAGGAAAGGAACACTGACCCATGTTAGTATTTACCAATTTGGTAAATTTTCAAGGCTGTTTTTGGATGTGGCTTAATGGGAAAGCCATGGTAACACATATGAGATAGCATTGTTTATATACTCTTAATCTTTTAAATTTGTTTTTCTAAAAGGTGGGTACTTGAGTAATGTCTGTTCATTCTTTTATCAAGTATTTGCTAAGCTTCTAACATGAGCCTCATCAATATGACATTTAGGAATAAAGCTTGGTTTATCTCACTAGGGTGTCCTACCTCAGAAGGCTGTTTGGTTGAAGATGGAAATATTGTGAACATTGCTGACAATTCATTTATTCACTTCAATATCTCTTTGTGAGGTAACATATCAGTCAGTAGGGATACTATTGTGATCTTAGAAATAACCATAATAAAAGCAATAGGTATGCCAGAAGCACTAAATTTGAATCCCAGATGGTTCATTCTCTACCTTGAACAATTCACTTAACCCAACTCCTCTCTCCATAAAATGTGGCCAATAAGCCCTGCTAACTTCATAGGTTTATTGCAAGAATAAATTAAAAATATATAAAGCAATTTCTAAGCTGTAAAATGCTATGCACATTGTTGGTATGTTTAAGTTTTTCTTCCCATTCTTCTGTGTGGCGATTACAGACAGAAAATCTGTCTTGTATCTCCTATTTAAGCAAAAGGAAGCAATTAAAGCTGCTTCCATCCTCCTTCTTGTAGCAGCTGACCGATTCTGATGGGCCAGCTTTATTGCCTCCCTCTTATCCCATCACACAAGTAACCTGCCTTGTGGGATTTGAACCGCTGTGTTCTGGCCTTGTGCCTTCTGTTAAGTGGATGTACGCCAAATTACTCGAGCAAAACTTCTCTATGGGGTCACTCCCACACAGAGAGCCAGTGCCAGGAAGTGGGGCGAGAAACCAGAGGACTCTATTAAATTTCCCATTAACTTTGTTCATATGCCCCTACTTGACCTTTCCTTGGCTGTGTCTCCCTGCTGTCCCCTCATCCGAGCAAAAGGCTGCTAAGCTTCTAAATGACTTGGAGTGCCTTTGCACTGAGGGTTGAGAGGTGCAAAGGACTCTGCTGGGTACTAGACAGAATGGTCTTTCACAAGCAGTAATAAGTCACGTTTGAACCCAAGAAACAATTGTGCTTTCAGAAATTCTGTGGCTATTACTAAACATGATTTTTGTTAGTAACGAAATTCAAGTTATTGCTCTTAATTGGGCAGTGTGATTAGCAATTCAATAGTCCAAATATGTAGGTGCTAAACAATAAGTACACATGGAGATAAAGATGGAAATAATACATACCTGGGACTCCAAATGGGGCAAGGGTGGGAGGCGTGTGAGAGTTGGAAAGTTACCTACTGGGTGCAATGTTCAATATTTGGGTGATGGGTATACTACAAGTGCAATCCCCAACATTTCACAATACACCCAGGTAACAAACATGCACATGTACCCCTTGAATGTAAAGTAAAATTCTCCAAATATTATTTCCTGTGAGCATTGACAATTATTCCTTAATTTTAAAAAAAAAGCCTTTATCATCAAATTGGCACATGCAGGTGGTGGTGTCTAGAATTCTGGATATTTCTTGAAAATATGTATTGACTTTTTCAAAAGTATTAATGGATATCAAGAAGGTATGATATATCTTTATTCTCACTTATTTTAAATCAGCTTTGATGAGATGAATTGCTCTACTAGTTTAAACAGTGTTCCCCAAAATTCATGTCTACCCAGAATTTCAGACTATACCGTTATTTAGAAATAAGGTCTTTGCAGTTATAATCAAATTAAAATGAGATGGCCCCTAATCTAATGGCTGGTGTCTCTACAAGAATACAGAAATTTAAATTTGGACAAAGAGATACAGAGAGGAAAAGGCGATGTGAAGACAGAGGCATACCAGTTACACTGGCACAAGCCAAGAATCCCCCAGGAACACCAGAAGCTAGGAAGAGGCAAGGAAGGCTTCTTCCCTAGAGCCTGCAGAGGGAGCATGGCCCTGCTGACACTTTGATTTCATACTCTTTGCCTAGAGAACTGTAAGAGAATAAATTTATGTTGTTTTAAGCCACCCAGATTGTGGTACTTTGTTATGGTAGCCCCCGGAAACTAATATAATTGCATAAAATAAAATGCAGCAGTTATAAGTGCAATGAATTTTGACAAATATCTGCACCATATAACCATAACACTCAAGATATAAAATATTAGAGCCTAAAGAGCTCCCCTTTGTCCCTTCCCAGTCTATATCCCCTCTCCGCCTCTGCCAACACACACATACCCAGCTCCAGACAACTCTTGGCTGTGTTCTGTCATTAGGTCTACTGTAGAATTTCACATAAGTGGAATCACACAGTTTGTGCTTATTTGTGTCTAGCTTCTTTCATTCAAAATGATTTGAGATGCATCCTTGTTGATGTGTATGTCAGTAGTCTGTTCCTTTTTTATTGCTGAATAATACTACGATATATTATCAAAATATGTCATTAAAAATGCACATTATTGAGGTTGGCCACAGTGGCTCACACCTGTAATCCCAGCACTTTGGGAGGCTGAGATGGGTAGATCACTTGAGGTCAGGAGTTTGAGACCAGGCTGGCCAACATGGCAAAAATCTGCCTCTACTAAAAATACAAAAATTAGCTGGGTGTGGTGGTGCGTGCCTGTAGTCCTAGCTACTTGGGAGGCTGAGGCAGGAGAATTGCTTGAACCCGGAAGACGGAGGTTGCAGTGAGCTGTGATCATGCCACTGCACTCCAGCCTGAGCAACAGAGCGAGACTCCATCTCAAAACAAACACACAATTATTTTTGTTGTTATCCTTTCACCTGTTGATGGACATTTAAACTCTTCCAGTCTGGGCTTTTATGAATAAAGCTGCTATAAAAATTTGAACACAAATTTTTAAATGGACATATGTTTTCATTTCTCATGGGAAATAAGTAGGAACACAGAATCATGCAGGTGACATGATAAACATATGTTTAACCTTAGAAGAAATGACTAAACTGTTTCTCAATGATTGCACCATTTTGTGCTCCCACTAGCAGTGTATGAGAGTTCCAGTTGATCAACATCCTAATAATTGATATCATCAGTCTCCTTCATTTTAGCCATTCTATGGGGAATGTAATGGTATTCCATTGTTTTAATTTTCATTCCTTAGTCGTTAAATCTTTTATGTGACATTTGTATATCTTCTTTTGTGAGATTCCTGTTCAATCTTTGACTCATTTACTTAACTGGGTGGTTTGTCATTTTTTTATTAAGCTGTGAGAGTTCTTTATAAATTCTGGATACAAGCACTTTTTCAGATACAGTGAAATAATTGTTCCCAATCTGTGGCTTGAATTTTCATTTATTATTTGTGTATTTTAAGGATGAAAGTTTTTTATTTTGATAAGTTTAATTTATCAATGATTTTCATTATTGTTTATGAATTTTGTGCCCTAAAAAAATTTCTACTCCAATGCCACAACTATTTTTGACTATGTTTTCTTCTAGAAGTTTTATAGTGTTTGCATCTATGTTTAGTTCTATGCTCCATTTAAGGTTAATTTTTATGTGTGATGTTAGTTATGGCCATGGTTCACTTTTTTCCCATATGAATAGCCAATTCTTACAGCACCATTTGTTAAAAAGATATACTCTCCTTCCTAAATCACCTGTGTAACTTTATTAAAAATAAGTCTACCATGTATGTGTGAGTTGATTTCAATTTCTGGATTCTATTCTGTTTCAGAGCAGATATTAAAATATCTTTTTAAAAAAATAATTGGTCTTAACAATGTAAATGTAAAAATGATCCTACTTTATTTC
Source organism: Homo sapiens (assembly GCF_000001405.40). Taxonomy (NCBI): domain Eukaryota; kingdom Metazoa; phylum Chordata; class Mammalia; order Primates; family Hominidae; genus Homo; species Homo sapiens. The sequence continues at coordinate 53,555,071 of NC_000018.10, forward strand.
TATGCTAATCAATTCTACAGATATTTAAGAACCAGCTTATTTCAAGGCATTGAATCAGACTCTGTGAATAATGCAAAATTGATTAATATGATATCACAAGTCTCAAGAACTATACAATTTTAGGACAAGGTCAAAAATCCATGCTCTAGATGCTTACATTTGGATTGTGGAGAGGTAGAAATGTGTTCATGATGCTCTGGAATTTTATTCAAATTTTGGTATTATGTGAGCCTTTGTGATTTTTCATAGAGGAATTGAAGGACCTGTCCCTAAAAGAACAACTGCTTCCTAAAAATAAGAAGAAAATGTTACTGTCACCTCTCTCAACATGCATAGTGGCAGAATTAGTATTACAATTACAAATGGCAGAAAACCAGTTGGTTGATGTGATTTCTGAAAGAAAACATTGGCACACTGACTAAAATTCTTTTTTGCTGTTTTATAGAATTTAATCAAAATAGTTTGCACTTATAGACAGGTAATCAGATTTAATTTTTTAAAGAAACTGTATAGCTAAGTTTGTACACACTCATGTACACACTCATCTGTCTTCTTTGTGGCTCATGACAGGTATTGTCTCTGAGCTAATCTTCCCTTGACATATTTCTGAAACATAAAACGGAACCAGCCTAAATTTTCCTGTCAAAAACAAATCCACAATGTGGATATTTAATAGATGTTGAGAGAAAATTAGCAGTGACAAGTTTAATGCTATTTACTTAGGAAATTAAGTTGAGATACTCAGTGAAAGTGGCAGTTAGCAGAAAGCACAGAAGCCATAGGGCAAGATAGCAATTTCTCTTCCATTGCATGGTAGTGTAGCTCAAAGCATAATATTATTATAGACTTCATGTCCGCAGAACACATATGAGTACAATGAACACTCAGGTACTTCTGGAAGTATCTGTACACACTCACTGGTTTGGAAGGAAAAAGCAAGTTTAATTCATCAGAAAAAAAGTCATGTGGCTCTTGCAGCCTCAATCCTTTCCTGATGTTAAAAATCATCTGGTTAAAAATGTTTCTCTCCATGTCCTTCAGATGAGGCACTGTTTCAGACCCCTGTCAACTTGTATTAAGCAGTGCCATCCAGCTTTGTGTTTTCCTACCTGTTAAGCTGGGCTATGCCCCCTACCCTATTGTGTGTAAATGATTTTCATCTGTTCACAATACATAGAATTTATATAATTTGAGTGTCTCTGGCCATGGAGAAGGCCCTAGGCCATGCCTTTCAAATTGACATATCCTTCCTTGACTATAGCTAGATTCTCAGAGATTATAAGGAAGAGAATGTGTCTTCTGAGAATCAATGTTACCTAATTTATGGGGATGTTTTCTCATTACTCTTTTCTAATAACATTCTCTTTCTGCCTCTGCCCTTCTCTCTACCATGTGATGTAATGTGATATGAACACTCCTATTTTGGAGTGGCAAGAGGACAGGATTTGGAAACAGATTTACAAAAAATTGGGCTGAAATAAGAGAGTTCTTATGTACTAAGTCTTTTGAAAATATTAATGCAGACTTTTGAGATGGGATGGGCGTGAGCTGTCTGTCACACTATAAACCTCTCATGTGGTTTGTGGTTCTTGGTTTCATGAGGGTAAATACAATAACCCAAAATAATAACCATGAATTGGAGTATGATGTCTTTATGTAGTCCCATGGCTCCAGGGGCCATTACAACCATAAATCCTGATACTACTGAGCAAAATTCATCAAAATATCTGTCCAATGGTCATTTCTGAATGCAGTCCGACACTTTATTTCTGTCTAGATATCTAAGATTTTGTGAGAAAAAAAAACAACCCACCACATATGATCTAAGCATATTCTATATATAGAAAAACTTCACTGCTGAGGACCACTTGGAGAGAACAATCATGATTAGTATGGAACCAAAGCCGTTATATGATATGCTTAAAGAGTGCAGGTTAATGACTTTTCAGTAAATATAGAAACTTGAAGAAGGCTAACAAATCATTATCAAGCAAAATTCTTTGATCAGCTTTAATGAATAGATAATAAGTAGATCTCTTTCAAAGAAGCACAGCAATTTTTTATGTTAATGGCACTTCTAAAGTGCTTTAAATCAGCCAGTCCTACAACATGGGCTAAACATTTGCCCTACGATCCTAATTGTATAATTAATTTGCTTAGACATCATGATTTTAAATACATGTAAATATAAAAGTAAGTTTTATATTATTTAAATTAAATCCTCCATACCCCCAAGAATTCTAAATCTCAAACCATAGTAAGAATTAAAGAGGTTCATGGTGACTGACTGTTTTTGATATTTCCCTATAAGTTGTATGGAGTCCGTTTCTAAAGGAGAGAGTTTCTGGAGGCAGTTATCTACCTGAAAAAGTTGACTTAAGATTTCATCTTTTGAAAATCACCATTCCCTTGGTATCTACAGTTGTGTATATTGTCAAATAATAAATTAACGATAGATGAAATGGTAGAGAAGAATTTATGTTTGGAAACAGAGAGATACAAGCTGAACTAGCAGCTCAAATGTGAAGAAGCTGTGCGATCTTAAGCCAGGTATTTAACTTAGTTAACTCTTACTTTCCTTATCTATAAAATGAAAAATAAAACTATACAAGAATGTTTGTAAAGGATAAGAAGAGATTAATTGTAAAGTTCCTAGCAGGATTAGTGGCAAATAATAGGCACTCAGTAATGGTAACTAATACTTTTTTGAGATTGTTAGTTTCATTGTTGTAATATGGAATGAAAAAAATGAGAAAAAACAAAAACAAAGAAAAAAGGAATTTGATGCCACTTCCAGACATGCAGAGGCACTGGACATTTACAACACGTAATACAAATATTTGTTCTAAACTAGGAAATAAATGACATGGATTGTACAGGTTGTCAAACCATTAACACAAATGAATATAAAAATCTGACATTTTAAGCCATTAGAAAAATACACATAAAAGAAATAGATGATAAACTACTACAGAGTTACCAGACCTGAACAATATTCAATATGTCAGTCCGTCAGATTTTAGAAGACAACAACAAGCATAGCTTGTTGTCATCTTTATCTGCTGATCCAAATAACACACACAAAATCGCATCCATTGGCTATGTGAATGTCTGAAATGGAAAGAACCATTACCACCAGGGAGAAATGCCATCATTTCTAAATAAAGTATAATAACCCATTTTGACCAATAGAATACTAACCCATGATAAATTTATTAGAAAACCACCATTTTAAATTCAGATGAAAGCATTAACACATGCTATTTATTATGAGTTAGTTTACTCTCCCGTCATCTATGTGTTTAAATATGATATAATAGAAAATACTTTCATTAATCCCGGTTGACATCCTCCAATAAAATTTCTAAGGTCTGTGAAACACAGAAAGAGAAGTAGTAGTTCAGAACTCATGCTCAGGTTTGCCACTGAATCATCATTTAGAGACAATGTCAATGAAATAAAACATTTGTGCAGGATAACAGTCACCTGTTGTTAGAGTAATGCTAAGATGAAAAAGAGAGGTTTTTTTTTTTCCAACTCAAAGCAAAACGGAAATGTTTATTCTCAAATTGGAGATTATGCTTCTTTGAGAATGTTCTCTCCATCACCCATGCTTCATCTTTTTCATAAATCCCATGATTTGCAAAACAAAAAGGGTGTCTCTTTCAACTTGATCTCTTGGAATTGGCATGCATTTGATTCATGAAGGAATTAACCAGTCACTAATGTTAAAGAAAAATCTGGGGCACAATAAACATTTAGTGTGTATTTGAGTAAACAACAATTAATTAATTGGAGAATTATGAAGAATGAACCAAACTTAAAGAGGTTTATTTTTTCGATGACAAAACTGTGTGGTACTGCTGTTGGATACACAGACCAATGGAACAGAATAGAGAGACCTGAAAAAAAGTTTACACACCTACAATCATCTGATCTTCAACAAAGTTGATAAAATAAGCAATGAGGAAAAGATTCCTTACTCAATAAATGATGCTGGCAATTGACTCAAGATTCATTAAAGACTTAAATGTAAGATCTCAAACTATAAAAATCCTATAAGAAAACCTAGGAAATACCCATCTTGATATTGGCCTTCACTAAGTCCTTGAAAGCAATTGTGATAAACACAAAAATTGACAAGTGGAACCCATTTAAACTAAAGAGTTTCCGCACAACAAAAGAAACTATCAACAGAGTAAATAGACAACCTACAGAATGGGAGAAAATATTTATAAACTATGCATCCAATGAAGGTTTAGTACTTAGAATCTATAAGGAACTTAACAAATTAACCAGCAAAAAAACCAAACAACTCTATTAAAAAATGAGCAAAGGGCATGAACAGACACTTCTCAAAAGACATACAAGTGGCCAAGAAACATATGAAAAAATGCCAACACCACTAATCATCAGAGAAATGCAAATGAAAACTACAATGAGATACCATCTCACCAATCAGAATAGCTTTGTTAAGAAGTCAAAAAATAACATGTTGGCAAGCCTGCAGAGAAAAAGAAACACTTATACACTGTTAGTGGTAATGTAAATTAGTTCAGCCTCTGTGGAGAGACATTTGGAGATTTCTCAAGAAACTGAAGAGTTGAACTACCATTTGACCCAGGAATCCCATTGCTGGGTAAATACCCAAAGGAAAATTAATTGTTCTACCAAAAGACATATGCAACTGTATGTTCATCATTGGGCTATTCACAGTAACAAAAACATGGAATCAACCCAGGTGTGCCCATCAACAGTGATATGGATAAAGAAAATGTGGTACATATAAATCATGGAATAGTATGCAGCCATAAAAAAGAAAGAAATCATGCCCTTTGCAGCAACATGGATGAAGCTGAAGGCCATTATCCTAGGTGAACTAACATGGGAGAAGAAAACCAAAGACTGCATGTTCTCACTCATAAGTGAGAGCTAAACATTTGGTAGATGTGGATATAAACATGGGAACAATAGATACTGGGGACTACTAGAGGGGGAAAAGAGGGCGGGAGGCAAGGGCTGAAAAAGTACTTATTGGATACTATGCTCATTACTTGAGTAATGGTTTCATTTGTACTCTAAACCTTAGCATCACACAATATACCTTCGTAAAAAACCTGCAAATGTACCCCTGATTCTAAAATAATGGCTTTAAAAAAAAGAAAAATACAGAAACAAAACAAGGAATTATTTGATTGCTTTGCCTAGTTTTAGGTACCTTGTTGAAAAGCCCCAGATCACATCATTGTATGTTGGTTGACTGCTTATGATTGGCTGGGACTAAGTTTTATTTCTGTCTAACACAAGCATTACCAGAAATGACCCAAGTTAAGTTTCACAAATGTTTGCAACTTACGCGAGTTTGAGGTCACTTATGAGGGCTAACTGGTTTTGTCTGCTCAGGGATTCTTCAGGCCTGGTCTCCATTTTAATTTACTTCAACACTAAGAAACATGAGATTACACCTGAGGTTCACTTTGTGTGTTAGTGCACTATCTAGACATCTGTGATTTTCTTTTTTGATCTACTAACCAGGCTAAACTACAGTTTTCAATCATTCAACCAAGCATTAATCTAGGTGTTGCTATGAAGGTAGTTTGTAGGTGTAATTAAAGTCTATAAACAGTTGAACTTTAAGTAAGGGTAGGGCTGATAACGGCAGTTCAAAGGTTTTAAATCAGAGGTGAGACTTCCCTGAAGGGAAGAAAATTCTGCCTGGGGACAGCAGCTCCAGTCCCTGCCTGAGAATTCCAGCTCGCTCTTCCTGATGTTCTGACCTACAGATTTCCAACTTGCCTGGCCAGCCCCTACAATAATATAAGCCAATTACTTGTAACAAATCTCTTAATATATATCTTCTATTGATTCTGTTCCTCTGGCTGAACCCTGAATGATACAACATCCTTTTTGAAAATCCACATTTAAATATCCAACTTAAGGTTGGTCCAGTTCTTCAACACCATTGCACTACATAAGGCCTGCACTTTATAAAACAACCATTTAGCATGTATTGAAAAAAATCTTAGATATGATTGATTAGCTGCAATATGTTAAATAGCTGTTTATGAAATATCATATTTCCAAGTTTTGCATACTAATATGTTCCTCTAAATATGGGAAAATATGGCCTCATGAAGATTAATGAAGCCTCTTTTTGTTACCAAAGATAAGGCCAGCTAATGCTTCTGGAGGCATCAACATGATATATAAACCTTTTAACTACAGGGTTGTCATGATTTGACCAAAATATCAACCTGTGATCTCAGATTCAGTTATTCAATGCCCTTTGATAGTCTCAGTATATCAGTTAATAAGTGTGCAGTATAGTTTATAACTGTAAACTAAGAAAAAATCAGCTTAGCAATAGACATTGGCATTCTAGCCTTCTATAGCAAGGTCACTTCTAATATTTACAAATAATTCTAATTTATTTAATTATCAGTTAGATATCAGAAGGTAAGAGTAATCATTAAACAACAAAGCAGTTGTTAATTTTTCATCGCTAAATTACCATGGCAGATTTTCTTTCTGTTTTCCTTTTGACTGTAGCAAGACAAATCTCCATGGAAATGAGAATGTGTTGTAATGCTTCTATGAGATAAAACTCACTTATTCCCTTTGAAATCATCTCTGGATCCAGATTGTCCCTTTAATACTGCTGATCTATGCTATGTAAACAGGTGTGCTTTCCTTCATGCTTCATGTGTACAGTTTTCACTCCTCCTATAGAATGTGATAAGTGGGCTTTTTCACTCCCATTTTTTTTTTCTTTTACTTGAATCTTCAGAACTTGGTATGTTAGAATTTTGCACCTTGTATTAGTCTGTTTTCACGCTGCTGATAAAGACATACCTGAGACTGGGTAATTTATAAAGGAAAAGCGTTGAACTACCATTTGACCCATGTGAGTCTTAATGGACCCACAGTTCCACATAGCTGGAGAGGCCTCACAATCATGGTGGAAGGTGAAAAGCGTATCTTACACGGTGGCAGACAAGAGAGAATAAGAGCCAAGCAAAAGGGAAAACCCCTTATAAAATCATCAGATCTCATGAAACTTATTTACTACCATGAGAACAGTATAGGGGGAAACCACCCTCATGATTCAATAATCTCCCATCAGGGCCCTCCCTCAACACATGGCAATTATGGAAGCTACAATTCTAGATGAGATTTGGGTGGGGACAGAGCCAAACTCTACCATATCTGAAGCTCCTTGAAAGTTAGCATATGGGCCGGGCGCGGTGGCTCACGCCTGTAATCCCAGCACTTTGGGAGGCCGAGGCGGGCGGATCACGAGGTCAGGAGATCGAGACCATCCTGGCTAACACGGTGAAACCCCGTCTCTACTAAAAATACAAAAAATTAGCCGGGCGTGGTAGCGGGCGCCTGTAGTCCCAGCTACTCGGGAGGCTGAGGCAGGAGAATGGCATGAACCCGGGAGGCGGAGCTTGCAGTGAGCCGAGATCGCGCCACTGCACTCCAGCCTGGGCGACAGAGCGAGACTCCGTCTCAAAAAAAAAAAAAAAAGAAAAAAGAAAGTTAGCATATGTTCAGAACCTTAAAGGAATTTGATAAAGTTGGAGCAGCCCATTTGGGTTTGAAAAAATAAAAAATAATAAGAGCAAAAGAACTAGGGAGAATATGCCATAGCCTTCCTACCTCATAAGTATTTCCTGTTGTTGAAGGCAAACACCAGCTAAACTCTGAAGCAAGGAGGAATAACCGGAAAATTAGATTCCTAATACCATTTCTCCCATCAAGTCTAATTATATGTCAATTCAAATATAAGGCATATTTTAATTGGCCCTTAGATTCCATAAGGAAATTAAAGCATATTTACTTTCAATAAGTAATTATAATTTTCTCATATTGACATTCATTGCAAAGACCAAGGCTTAGCCCACGTTGTTGGAATTAATAGGGGATATACAGGAAAAGAGCTTCTTAAACTAATATATACCTTTGTTAGGAAATATTGGGTTGCAAGCAAAAGAGATGTACTTAAACCATCTTACATAAAAGGGAGACTTCATTTTAAGAATATTCAAGTGCATTGTGGTCCCAGATATATCATGGAACCCAGAACCGGAAAAAAGCAGAGGCACAGCCAATCCCTGTCTCCACTTTCTCTGAAACACATGGAATTATCACTCTGCCTCACTCTACATGTCTTCTTCATGATTTTCTTCTTCTGCAAAGCAATTTCCCTGGGTCTACGTTCACGTGATTATCAATGCCTTGCTTATGTGATCTTTCAGTTTAAAATACCGACAGACTAACCAGTGTTTTTGAATCCCAATTTTAAATTGCTTGGTAAATAAACCATTTGATTGGCTAATCTTGTTCTGGGTCTACCACTACTTTGGCTCAACTCAAATTCTAGTTTTTCCCAGAAAGGTGGAGTCTTTGGCCACCTTCCTACATAGCAGGGGTCATGACACAAGACTTTCCAAAACCAAAGGTAGTTTTCAGAGAAATAAATGGGAGCTGGGTGGGTGGACACACCACCCTATCCAATAGAAGTGTGAATAGAATCCTAATCCCTAAATTTAAGAAACTCTATGTCTTTTCTGAATTTTCACTCCTGACTTTCTGAAAAATGTTTAATTTTCACCTATTGATTCAGTAGAATGATAAATAGTATTCACTTCTACTCTCAAAATTCTCCCCGTTTGAATGATAAATGTAGATGTAGCAGGTATGCACTTGAATCAAATTTCTCTTTATTTCAAGGTGGTGGTGTTGATAGAGTGGTTCAGTTGACTAATGTATGACATGACACCCTTCCGATGCAGCTATATTTAAATATACTTAAATCTGTATGGGAACCGATCTAGCAGCAGTGAACTAAAAATTAGTAGAGTTACGACTAATGGCACTGAGAAAGACATGACAGTTACAGAAATAAGGGATTTCAGGGGAGAAACAGATTCAAACTATTAGAAGAGTGGGGAAAGACTCTTACTGTGAAAAGCTCTGTTGACGTTAAGGTCTGTCGGCTTTTTCTGAGCCCAGGACTCTCTGCAGAGACTTTTGGAGGAAGTGGTAAAGCAGCTGGTGAAAATCATAAGCTTGGAGCAATCTCCACTGAGTGAAGAAAAATGTTTTAAATGCATTTGCTTCACCTGATCCATTTGCTTCTACAATGGTCTCTATAATGAGATTTTCTTACAATTTCATAGAGATGGTCAACTCCCCCATTGCACAGGACTCTTAGGAAGTCTTTCTAGCATTTTTCCTAATTAGAGAATATACTGCCACCAACTGAATTGTTCACACTGATGGGGTCAACTACTCCTTTCACCTAATGCAACCTTTCCCTAGAAAGGTATTAAGTCATCATTAACAACAATGAAATCACCATATTCGGTAGCAAATGTTAAAGTGAATAATTTGGGTACAATTTACTTTTAATACAGGCAAATAAAAAACTTGCACAAGTTCACTGTGGATTACATTTTGATTTCACTGTAGATATCAAATATAAGGACTTGTCCTGAATCCCTCTGAGCTGGGTGAGATTTCTATCAGATAAGAAGCCAAATCTTAGTAAGGCTTATGCTTAAAACTACTTTGCAAATAGAAAAGAACTTTCAATAATTAAATCTAATGAATACATGCAATCACTCTGAGAAATAAGCTGTATTTTCAAGTAGATTTGAACAAGAGACTTTGTAGGGACATTAGGACCCATTATCCCAGCACACTTGGGCTTTGAGAAGTCAAGCAAGAACTAGCCCTGTCCAAAGTCCTTCTCAAAACTGCTTTTATATGACCACTTCCTTTATTACTTTCACTTACTCCATTTATTATTTATTTATTAATTTTTGAGATGGAGTCTCACTCTTGTTGCCCAGACTGGAGTGCAATGGTGCTATCTTAGTTAAATGCAACCTCTGCCTCCCGAGTCCAAGCAATTCTCCTGCCTCAGTCTCCCGAGTAGCTGGGATTACAGGCACATGCCACCATGCCTGGCTAATTTTTGTATTTTTAGTGGAGACGAGGTTTCACCATGTTGTGCAGGCTGGTCTCAAACTCATGACTTCAGGTAATCCACCTGATTTGGCATCCCAAAGTGATGGGATTGCAGGCATGAGCCACCATGCCTGGCCTATTTACTCCATTTTTTAAATGTCTTCTTTAGCCCTCTAAGGAGAAAACAAGGGAACCACAGGTCCATGTCAGAAGCTATGGACTTGCCAAGGCTTTTCTACAATGTACATGTGTGGAAAAAAATTGCCAGAGCAGAAACATTCTGCATGTCCACTGACATCAACTCAAACTGTACAAAGTTATCCAAAAATGAAAAATATATTTAAGGGACATATACAATAAATTACAGTTATCTTTTGTAACAGCTGAAAGGTAAGTTACCTCAGGATCAAACAGAATCTAGGATTGAAACGCTGCAAAATTATTTCTACTTTCTGGAAAGGTCAACCTCATACTCTCCTGTGGCAAACTGGCTTCGTTAATGTGCTGGAAAATACAATGGCTGCCAGCTCTCAAACATGACTTCCCACCCATTGTCAGAGAGGGATTGATTTGTATTATCTCTAGATGCCTAAGCTCAAACATTCCAAGCATCAGCTATGATAGGTCCTCCGTGTGTCAGGTGCTTATCCTTGCACCATCAACTATGGTCTAATATGGAGGCTATAAGAGCATGGCACCCAGCATTGTGTTCACCATGGTTGGATTAGAGTTAGGAGGTAAGACACTGGAGTATTTTCCCAAAAAATGCTCTGCTGGTTTCAGAAGGTGGAAGAAGTAGTGAGCAGACAATATTATACAAGTCCCTATAGCACAACAAAATAAAATAAAAAAAATCTTGGAATATAAGCAACTGTTGGAGAAAAGAAGGAAAAAGAGAAGATCACCAATTCCTGAGTGAAATGTGCGGCAGATTCTGATGCATTCAGTTCCTAACAACATTTGTCTTTGTGGGCTACAACCACTGGCCTAGAAAAGAAAACAAGTATCTCTGGAGTCAGCAGGATGAAAGCTGGAAGAACTGACTAAATCAGCGCTTCTCAAGATTCTCCAGGCCATGGATAATGTCGAAGACAAACACTTCTGGCATCATCCAGCACACACATTCTTCAACTGTTCCTATTAAAATACTTCTCTTGAGCAAATGAACACACATAATTCTTTGAACAAAACATAAACAAAAATGTAATTCAGTGGTTGGGTGCGGTGGCTCATGTCTGTAATCCCAACATTTTGAGAGGCTGAAGCGGGAGGATTGCTTGAGGTCAGGAGATCGAGACCAGCCTGGACAACATGATGAAACCCTAGGTCTACTAAAAACACAAAAATTAGCTTGGCATGGTGGTTCAGGCCTGTAATCCCACCTACTTGGGAGGCTGAGGCACGAGAATCACTTGAACCAGGAAGGTGGAGTTTGCAGTGAGCCAAGATTGAGCCACTGCATTCTAGCCTGGACCACAGAGCAAGGCTCTGGCTCAGAAAACAAAAAAGAAAAAAGAGAAAAGAAATGTAATTCAGACACAAAGTAATTTTTAGACATAAAAATTGATACTAGCCTATATAGATATTAATACTTAAGCCTACAGTGGGAGGTCACCATCCATGATCGTGGGTTTACCCAGGCATTCTATAGTCACGACCAGTCATTTTCAGAACAAATTATTAAGTTTCTCTGTAATGTGTCCTTACTCCACACACACAAACACACACACACACACACACACACACAGACACTCTCTCTCTCTCTCTCACATTACCCACTCCCAGGCAAACTAGATGTTTTGAATTGCTAATGGTGCAATTTAAGGCACTGTAGGTGGTATATTATAAGTTCCTTTCAAATATTGCAGGATGGATCTGTTAATGAGGGATTCTTCACAGGTTAAAAGAAGGAATCATTTCTAAAAAGCCCAGAGGAATTCCAGACTTCAAAGCTGCATTTTTCACTCTGTTTATAGTCATTAGGTCCCATGAACAGAAATTTAAAATCATAAGATACCAGGAGATAATGGGGATTTCTAATGACTAAAGGTAAAATGTCTAGACTCTCTTTGTGATGTTATACTGCAATAACTTGAAAATGAGGTAAAACAAAAACAATCATAAAAAATTAAGGTGAAACAAAAGATCACTTAACTTATGAATTTTTAAAGTGTGGGTCCAGGTTAGCTAAGTTTCCCTTTTAACTATGACTTAGGCTTTTGGGGAGCCCCTGCTGAGAAATAGATGTCTTACTAGATATCTCAGAGTTACAACTAAGGTAGAAAGCATTTTGACATAATTATGCATGTTTGTATTTATAAAGAGGTATTTTTTATTATGCTTATTATTTGGTTTTCTCCTAGAGTAGGTCAGAACACTTTCTCAAGCTGTTTTCTTGATGCAAAGATATCCATTGCACATCCAGAGACACACACACACACCATCAGAAAGCAATATCTATGTGGCATCCGGTAATATGGTGTTTTAGTCTGTTTTCTGTTGCTGTAACATAACACCACAAACAGCAATTTATTTTTTTGAAAAATTAAGTGTATTTAGTTCATGGTTGCAGAGGCTGAGAAGTCCCAGCGCATGGTGCTGGCATTTAAAGAAGGCCCTCTTGTTGCATCATAACATGGCAGAGGGGATCATAAGGTGAAAGGGCAAGAGTATGCCATCTCAGCTCCCTCCTCCTCTTCTTATAAAGCCATCAGTCCCACCATGGGAGCCCCACCTTGATGACCTTATCTAATCCTAATTACCTCCCAAAGGCCCTACCTCCAAATACTATCAATGTATGAATTTGGGGATTAAGTTTTCAACACATGAGATCTGGGGTATACATTCAAACTATAGCATATGGTAGTATCTGTCAGCTTCAGTCTTTTAGATTTCCTTTAGGATCACTGCAATCATAAGCATATGCCACAGACATCAGAATTCTCTTTGGGCGTTCTTATTATGTCTCTTGGAATAATTATATATGGCTGCCTCCCTTTTCTCAAAATCACAAGACTTCGTCTCATTAAGTCTGTGGTGAAATTGTTTCCCTGTCAACTGGTAAATGGTTGTAATTACAGCAGAAAACCACCAGATGGCAAAATGGCAAACTCACATGAATCCAGATAATAAAAGGGTCTTCCTTTCTTTGAGGGCTTCCTTCAAAAACCTTGGCCTGCGATGGCCTGGATTGCAGGAGTCCTATGATGTTGGCTAGTCGGTGTAATTGTCGGGCTTTTCCCTTAATCCATTTATGCCTGAGGTTGCAATTTTTTGAATTTTTGCAATTAGACCTTGGCGATGACCTTGAGCAGTAGGATATAAATAACTCCCTTGTGTTTAGCATTCCAGTAATGGAACACTAGCCATAATAAACCGTTCCAAAAATGCGTTCTAATGGCTCTCAAGCAAGGTCCACTTGCAGTGAAATAAACCAGAGGTTTGAATCATGGCTTGATACGAAATTATTGGAAAGAATATGGCGATGACATCCACAATGCCGGTAAATACGTTAGTATTTGGAGGACTCCAAAGGGTGGATCTGAGAGTGGAGAATGAATATACAAATCTCTAGCCTCTGGAATAGCATTATGTAAAGGCTCTGGAAAACATGGTTCCTCAAAAATCCCATTTCCGTGTTAAATCATCCTCTCATCTGGGCATTTGACTTCATAACTAATTTAAGTCCCTCTATTTGCAGTTGAAGCCCCTCTCCTTTCCTCCAGTTAACAGGAGGCTTTGAAAATGAAATATCTTTTAAAATTATTCACAAATATTCTGGTGGGACACCAAGCACACCACTTCCATATCAGATGCATTAACTTACTCATATTTTATGCATATAACTTTATATATCCATTATGAGGCAGAAAAATGATTCTGGAGATCTATGTGAATTACCTATAACTTGAATCACAACCTAAATAATATCACTATTATTCAAGGTTTTTTATTGAATATGTTTTATTTCTGCTTTAAAAGCATATTATATTTGATTTAAATGGAGTAATAAAAAGAGGAGTATTCTGATATAACCCTATAAATCATCAATTTAAAAGTAGATCTTAAGATTTCCTTATTTCCTTAATTTAGCAAGTGATTTCCAAGCTGGTGTATGGAGATAAGTAGTAATATACAAAAATGCTAACATGGGCTAGTGAACCTCTTTCATTATTTGAAAAAGCAGAATAGAAACTGAGCAGTTACCAACAAGAAGCCTCTGTCAGATAAACTAAATTTTTTCTGCTCTGGCATAGAATTATATCAGCTCAATTGAATGTGAAACGATAATGACAATATTAATAATTAATGCTTATAATAACTAATGACAAAGATGATGCTGAGTCATTTAATATTTGCAGTGTTGCCATGAGTCAGGATGTCCTCATATTATACATAATGTAACTGAGGCTAACATGTCTTTTATTCAGCAATTTGCATATGGTTTTAATGTTTCTAACAATTGAGCTTTACTATTATGAGTATTTTTGGAATAACTATCAGAAGCTCTGATAGTCATTGTGTATAAATTTACATAGATTTTGCAGTTTATCATTGCAAACATAACATTTCAGGGTAGTCATAAATATTGGTACATAAAATACATGAGTAAAATTTGAAAATGAATAGCTAATCTGGAAAAGTTTGGAAACCTCTGTTGTAGGCAGTGAAGACACAGCCTTCAACGAAAGAGTGTTGATTGGTGAAACCTTTTCCAAATCTTCATGCTGATTATTGAGCAGGTTAAAATACATATAGCTCTCCATATTACCTTTCATGCATAACAAGAATGGAAAAACCATAGACCCTCATAATAAGGGGCTCAGAATAGTAAGGATCCAACTCATGTTAGATATCATGGGGGGAGGCAGGGAATGGCTTCTCTTTTCTCATTCTCTTCAGCTTTTTCTTTTTCGTTCTGATTTTGAAGATGTTTTCTTCAACTCATCTTCCACATATTCTTTTTAAAGGTTTTCTGCTAGGATCTTTCAAACTCTGAAATATCTTCTCAGTTTCTGAATGTTCATTTTTACAGTATTTTGATTTTATACGTGCTGTATGCTCTTTTGCCTTCTAAGATATAAATATACATTTTGTTGAAATTTTCTTCTGTTTGCTGCACTTCCTTGATTATTAATTATTTGAGGCCCTTTTATATTTATTGGTCACTTTAAGATCTCTTTTTTGAAGTATTTTTTCAAGTCTAATGTCCATACTTCTACTAAGTTAAAAGGACTTAGGAATTATATCTCCCTTTTGCCGTTCCCTAGAATAGTATGCATGAATTTGATGCTAATGATGAAGCCACTTTATGCTTAGTTTTTAAATTGCAGATTCAATTTATTTAATAACTATAAGACCATATAAACTTTGATTTTTTACAGTTTCAGTTTTGGTAAGATATGCTTTTTTATTTTCCCATTTATTCTAAACTTTCATATTTATTTACAACATTTTACCATTTTTTGGTGTCTATAAGATTGTTAGTAGCTTTTCATCTTTTTCATTAGTGCTATTTTTAGTGTTTTTTTTCCTTTTTTCCTATTACTAAGGGTTTATGAGTGCTGTCGTTTTTTTCCCCAAGAATTAACTTTCAGTTTAGTTTATGTTAGCTATATTTCCTATGTTACCATCTGCTCTTATTTATTCTATTTTCTGTCTTCTATTCTCTATCAGTTTTATTTTTCCTAACTTCTTGAGATTATGCTCAGCATTCTGTCTCTACCAATTTCAAAGGGTTAAAATAATATAGAATATATTTTTAAAGATAGTAAAATGCAGGTGAAAGAACAACAAGATAAATTTTAAAGCTCCCTAAGTTTGGAAGTTAAGAAGTTTATTTCGAGATAATTCATGGGTGAAGGACGACACAACAATAGAAATTAGAAAATATTTGGCACTGAATTATAAGAAACATAGCATTTATTGAGACTTGTGGGATATAGCAAAAGCCAAACTTATGGATAATGTATAACATAAATGTAGATTTTTAAAATCTGGAAATAAATGACATTTGTTAATGTTCAAAGAATATATTCTATATGATTTTAATTGGTAGAGACAGACAACATGGGCCAGCATATGTTTATTTTTGGTAAATGGTTCTTATGTATCTAAAGTGAACACACATTCTGCATGCTATTGTGTGCAGCATTCTATATATGTCAGTTGAACGATTTGTTAGTAATGTTGTCTGAATTCATATCCTTAGGAATTATTTGACCTACTTCTTCTATCATGCGCTGAGGTGGGTTAAAATTCCCCACTATGTCTCCATTTACTTGGTTTTTGGGGGTTTTTTTTAAGTGGTGTTTAATACTTTCCTGGTGAAATAAACTATTTACCATTACAAAATACCTCTCTGTACATTAAAAAATTTACCTTCAAGTCTTTTTGTCTAATACCAATATAAATAGACCTTTCCTGGGGCTAGTGTTATTTTTTATTTTTGGCATAGTCTTTTGTGTGTGTGCTTACTATCAATTTCTCTGTTTGCATTTAAAGTGTGGCTTTTAGAGTCAAAATATAGTTTGTCTTTTTAACTTTTTAATATTATCTAACACTCAAACCTTTACTTGGGGTGTTTTTTCTATTCACATGCAATGTAGTGTTGTCAAATATATTTAGGATTAAGATTTTCCCCTCACTATTTACTTCTTATTTTCTTGACTATTCTATGATTCTTTGCTTCCTCTTTTTGTTTGCTGTCTTTTGGATTAGTTTTTTGTTTCTTTGTTCTATTTCATTTTTTCTACTTCATTAATTTGGTAGTTATGTTTTTTAAGCTATTATTTTAGTGTTTACTCTAGACTTTGCTAAACGCATTTTTGATGTATCAAGTCTAACATAAATTAGTACTTATATCACCTACCAAATAATGTAGAGGTGTTACAACATTTAGCTCCAAATACTCTGTCCTAAGTTATATGCTTTTGCTGCGGTATATCTTAATTCTAAACACATTTTAAGCCCACAAATATTATGATTTATAGCATCAATGTTCATTTATTGATACTTATTTGCTATCGCTATTGCTCGTTTTTCTCACTTCTGTTTATTAGCTTCAAATTTCCTTTTGAACAGATTTGCCAAGAAAAAATCTCTCACTTTTTGTTTTTCCTAATAAGGCTGCATTTCATTTTTACTTTAGAAGGGTCAGCATTTTTCTGTAAAGAACCAAATGGTAAATCTTTTAGGCTTTTGGGGTCATAATATTCCAACTACTCTAGTGCATGAAAGCATTCACATGTAATAGGTAAATGAATGAGCATAATTAGGTTTGTTCCCCCAAAAAACTTTGCTTACAAAAACAGATAACACCCTGGATTTTGCCTGTGAATCACATTTTGCTGACCCCTTTGTTAGAATACAATATTTACTTGGTATTGCATTTTAGGTCAAGAGTGATATTTTTGGAGCACTTTTTGCAAATATGGTTATATTGTCTTCAAGGTTACATTGTTTCTGTTGAGAAGTAGCTGTTAGTCTTATTGCTATCACTTTTTTCTTTTTTTCCCCCCTCTAGCTGCACTTAGATTTCCTCTGCATTGAATTTCTATAATTTTTCTACAACATTCTTAGGTTTCTGTTTTGGTTTTGCTTGGGGTTTTAATAATCCAACTATTCGTTCTTAGGTTTCTTGTTTTGGTTTTGCTTCAAAACTATTTGGATTATGTAGTGATTCTTAAATCCATGGTTTGGTGCAATTTTGTTGGTTTAGGAAAACTTGAGTCATTATCTGTTCAAATATCACTTTTCCATTTTATTCCCCTCTTATGTTCTTCTGGGGCTCTAATTACTCATGTTTTAGATTATTTTACCATGTCTTATGTTTCCTATGTACCTTTTTCTATTGTTCATCACTTGCCTTTCTGAGTTTAATTCATCAGGAGTGTCTGCTCTCTTGTTAAATCCAGTCTTTGAGTTCTCAATTTACTTTTCCGCTCTAGAATTTTATCAGTTCTTTATAACTTCCAACTCTCAGCCTAAAATTCTCAATCTGCAAGTTATTTTCTTCCACTTGTTTATTTTCTTGAACATATTTTAAAATTGGTTTCTTATTATTTCATTGTTATCCCCTGTGGGTCTGTCTCTATTGTCAAATGTTTCTTTTAGTTTTATTCCATTTGATCCTGTCTCTTCCCCCAGTTCAGAATATTTTATATGTAAGAAACTATAGTATTAATAGAAGGCTATGAAAGATCATATTATCATCCTGGTAGAATATATGTATGCTTTGAGAAGGCTAGGTTAGCCTATTAGTAAAGACCAGTCAAATTAATCCCATCAGGGATGTAGATGAATTGAAGCCAGGTCTTAATCTTGTCAAGGACTGGTCTATTTCTAGATTACTTTTTTTTTTTTTTAAAATGAGATAGAGGAGTCTCACTCTGTCGCCCAGGCTAGGGTGCAATGGCATGATCTCGGCTCACTGCAACCTCCGCCTCCTGGGTTCAAGCGATTCTCCTGCCTCAGCCTCCTGAGTAGCTGGGATTACAGGTGCACACCACCACACCTGGCTAATTTTTGTATTTTTAGTAGAGATGGGGTTTCACCACGTTGGTCAGGCTGGTCTCGAACTCAAGACCTCATGATCTGCCTGCCTCTGCCTCCCACCGTGCTGGGATTACAGACGTGAGCCACTGCTCCCAGCCTACTTTTATTTCTAAAGAACAACCCTTTAGGGTCCCAATCCAAAGCCGCTCACATCTTCTTCTTTGTGGGCCTCTAGCACTAAATTTTGTCCCCCTAGTGCTATGAGCATATTGAAAGCTCACCTCATTCATAACTGACAAATGTTTCTGGAGTAGAGGTCAGGGAATTACGGCCCATTCATCAAATCTGTTTCTATCAATAAAATTTAACTGAAACACAGTCATATCCATTGATGTAATATTGTCTATGGCTACTTTTGGTGCTACAGTGGCAGAGTTGATCAGTTGTGCCAGTGACCAAATGGCCTACAAAATCAGAAACAATTACTATCTGGCCCTCTACAAAATATAACCTCTGTGAGGAAATGGGTCCAGAAGTCCTAAAAATGTTCCTGGATTGGATTTAGACCTCATAATCATTTATCTTAGCAGCTCTCTGATGCATTCAAACATAATTTCTAAAAGTTCTGCCTACCTTTCTTAGGTGTTCTCAATGAGAGACTTATTGCAAAATATGTAGTACACCATTACTGGAAAGAGAACACCTGTGAGTCTGTGTTTGAGTCATTACAATCCTCAATGCAAACTCTGCATACGTGAATATAAACAAGGATCCGTTTGACCGATGAGCTTCCCAGAAATATTGGCTAGCTGAGTTCTTTCATTAGTAAATTCTCAAATTCTCACTGTCCAGAGATAGTTTCTTTTTGACTTTTTAGTTTTTCCAGAGAGTCATCCTCTTTGCCCTGTTCAGGAGCTGAGCTGGGGAAAACTGGGGAGGTAAGGCATTCTAAAAGCCCCTGTATCACTGTTGAATTGTTGTCTTGATTTCAATATTATGCTTCATGTCTGCCTTCAGGTGCTTATGTCCCCAAATCTAGAACCCCCAAGATACACTCTCTCTATATAGAAAACTTCTATTTCTGTTAATACAGGAAGAGGTTAATTGTGTTGCTTGAGATGAGGACATAAGAGGACTTAATTGCTTTTTACTGAGACTTAGAACCTCTTATTTTTAACACTATTCTGTGCTCCCATGTTCAAAGGTTTCTGCCGTGTTAAACTCCTAAGTGTTTCTGGGGTTCTATGTGCAGTTAAATGTGAACTTCCTTCCCTCTTTCAAGTCAGTTGCCTTGTCACTTGTCCTTTTGCATTTCCAATATCAAAAATTGTAATTGGAATCTTCATCTAGTACTGCTGCTTTCCCTGTTCTTTAGCTCCTTTTAGATTTATGCCTGTTTTATTTTTATTACTATTTCAGTGAGTTTCTTGATTAAGCAGACATAAAAACGTATGTTCACTTAATCATGTTTAACTGGAAATCCCTAATTCTTTACTATGAAGGTCACATGCCTTAAAATACACCTTTATAATTCCATTAGGCATAAACTGTTAATTGTTTTTGTAATGGAAATAGTAATAAAGCAAACTATACTACTCGACAGCCATAATAATAAATGCGTGTAAAAAACAGGTTAAGACATCTTTTAAAAAATTAGGTAAGAAGGGTATTCAAGCATTCATAATGAAATGACTCCCCCCATATTTTGTTTCTTTAACATGGAGTATTAGGTTTCTATTGCTGTACAACAAATTACTACCAAGTTAGCCACTTAAAACCACAATTTTTTATCTCACAGTCTCTGTGAGTCAGGCATCTGGACATGGCTTGGCTGTTTCCTCTGCCTAAGAATCTCATGGGGCTGCAATCCAGGTCTCAGCAGAGGCTCAAATGGAGAAATAGCCACTTCCAAACTCCTCTGGGTTTTTGGTAAAATTCATTTATTTGAAGCTGCAAGTCTGAGGGCTATAGTTTCTTGCTGGAGGTTGCTCTCAGCTTATACAGGCTCCTACGCTTCTTTACTATATGGGCTTCTCTAGTATGGCCACTTACTTCATGTTGGCTTGCTTCTGCAAAACCAGTGAAAGGAAATTGCTCTAGTGGGTCTTCAAGCAAGATAGAATCTTATGTAATAACAATCATGGGAGGGGCAGCCCATCACCTTTCATATTCTACTGTTTAAAAGCAAGTCATAGGGGCTGGGACTACACAACGGCACGAACACTAGGAATTGAAGATCATGGACGCCACCTTAAAATCTGTCCACCACACCAAGGTTAAAGTCATGACGATAATGATGGGTTGTTACTACATTGTTCTTATAAGGCTTTACATCTTTAAAATGTCTCCACACACACACATATTTCTCTATGAATACATGTATAAGAGGTGTCAACCCAAACTTAGGCTGTGTTTTGTCTAGAACTCAAGGTCTTCTTTGCAAACTCAGAGAATTAGTCAGGTAGAACCCATAAGGCACCATTTATATTAAGGAAGAAAGGGGCCTTCTGATAAATAAGAGACAAAGAGCTTGGTTCGAAGATAATTAGGCAGCACTGATGAGATGGCATAATTTTTTTTTTTTTTTTTGAGACAGGCTCTCACTGTGTCACCTAGGCTGGAGCTCAGTGGCACAATCTCAGCTCACTGCAACCTCTGCTTTGTGGGCCCAAGTGATCCTCCCACCTTAGCCTCCCGAGTAGCTGGGACTACAAGCATCTGCCATCATGTGCAGCTAATTTTTGTATTTTTGTGTAGAGACAGGATTTCACCATGTTGCACAGGCTGGTCTTATACTCCTGGGCTCAAGCAATCTGCCTGCCTCAGTCTCCCAAAGTTCTGGGATTACAAGTGTGAGCCCCTGCACCCAGCTGAAATGGCATGATTTTTTAAATAGCACAGCAATGTCAATCAAACTATCTCATAGCCTCAGGACCAAATAACAGGTTTAAGGAATGTCAAAGAAGAGTGAAAAAAAAAGAGAGAGCTATTTTTTTCCCACAATTTCTTTAGGACATTTAGAATGTGAGACATCAGTAATTACAACATTGGTAGTGGTGATGAAGATGTTACTGAAACAGCAACATTAGGATGGTGATTATATTGGTGGCCACCCTTGTAGCACCTCCACATTAGACATCAGTGTCTTTGAACAAATATCTGTGCCATCAGTCTTGGGTGTCAACACCCCCATGTGGACATCAGCAGGAACAAAAAGAACAGCCTAACTGGTGGGCTTAAATATTCCTTGCTACTTATTAGCATGGCAATTATCAAAGGCAAAGTATTCTGAAAAAAAAGGAGAGAGTAATCACAGATACCAGAGTCAACATGGGAGCTAATTATTGATGCAACTCAACAATAAGGATAGTCCCATAATACCATCTGAGAGGAACTT
This sequence comes from Homo sapiens, assembly GCF_000001405.40. Classification (NCBI taxonomy): domain Eukaryota; kingdom Metazoa; phylum Chordata; class Mammalia; order Primates; family Hominidae; genus Homo; species Homo sapiens. The sequence goes on from NC_000018.10 coordinate 53,576,942, forward strand.
AAGTCAAATTACAGTTGCATAGATCAGCGTAACAGAAAAAAACTATTTAATATCTTATTCTTATCCTTCCTGCTAATATTTCTTGGGAAGAATGTGTTATATAAGTGATCTCAATTACTGCTTATAGCCACACTGTGAGGTAAATATTTTCACTCTGATATGGTTTTTATTTGTGTCCCCGCCCAAATCTCAGGTTGAATTGTAATCCCCAGTGTTAGAGGAGGGACCTGGTGGGAGGTGGGAGGTGACTGGATCATGGGGGCAGATTTCCCCCCATGCTCTTCTCATGATAGTGAGTTCTCACAAGATCTGGTTGTTTAAAAGTGTATAGCACCTCCTGCTTCCCTCTCTTTCTCCTGCTCCAGCTATGTAAGACATGCCTCCACTTCGCCTTCTCCCATGATTGTAAGTTTCCTGAGGCCTCTCCAGCCATGCTTCTTGTATAGCCTAATACACACTCCTATTCTCATTTGACAGGTAAGAAGACGAAATTACAAGCAGGATGAAAAATTTGTTCAATGAAACACAGCTATTAAGTGGCTGACCTAATAAGTGTTATGTATAAGTGACTCATCCATTGTAGCTTCTGGGACTCAACTTTAGGATCATCGTCATATGCAGCCTGGAGCTAGCCATATTTGAAGAGCTAGGAAGGAGGCACAGTGATTGACAATCTCCTTTCTCCTCAACTAGAATGTCATTTCCTTTTTTAAAACTAATTTAAATCCCATCTACATTCAATTGCTTGTCTAAAATAAAACCCAACTCCTCTCTTAAAGACTTTAAAAATATTATATAGCAGAGTTCATCCTTTCTTTCTTCAGAGAAAGCATCATGAAAACATGTTTTCAGGACATTAATAACTTGATATTCACAACCAACCTTTAAATTTGGAAACAAGGAATTCATAACTACGTTGTATATATATGAAGAAAGTAAGCCTCAGAGAATTTCAAGAGCCCGTCCAGGATAGTCTGCTTCAGAGCCATGGTTCTCAAAGTATATCAGATCTCCAGAGTAGGTCTGCAGTGGGAGCCAAAATTTTGCATTTCTAACTTGGTCCCAGGTGATACTTGTGCTGGCGCTGCTAGTCTACACTTAACTCTATTCACTTTTTTTGTGTTTTCTTAGGATAAAGAAAATATTTAGAAGATGAGATTCCTGTGTTTCTGGCTTTCATGTAAGAATTTTATCTGAAAAAAGAAGCATAGACATGTAGAAATTTTATATTTTTATAGATAAACTCATTGGATTATCTGTTTTTCATCTTGGAACACACTATCAACATTTTCTTTAGAAGATATGCAGGACAGGTGGCTTTCAGTGGGAAGAAAGTGTCCTAACTAAAAACCTCAAGGAAGATAGGGCATGTGGAAATAAAGACCATCCAAATGAGAACAAACATAAGCTATGTATTCAGAGCTTGCTACAGCAAGGGCATCCATGCCACCACTTCAACTTGTCAGAGGCTGAAAGGCAGACAAAGCAGTGGGGAAGCTTTAGAGTGGAGAAAAGGAAAGGTGTTAGGCATGTTTTAATTGAGGTCATTGTCATGATAGCACTGGAGTCAATGGAGGTAGGCTAGCAAAAAGTGAGACATCTTATGTGATGGGTTTGGGGATCACATTTAGCTTTCTCTGGTTGGTTCTGAATTGGAAAAAAGAAAAAAAAAAGATGAAAAATAAGGAGGCTGGCAGTTGTTGACCAAATCGTGACCATTCTGGACCAATCTTAAGAGATTGTAACTGGTTTCCTGCAATGGTTGCTGCAGAGTCTGTGGGCCAGAGTTCTGTTTATTACACATAGAATGACGGTTATCTGTTTCTAATTCAGTTTCTCAAGAGCTTACAAGGATGTCAGCAAAAGCAAGCCATCTCTGACTCCACAGTCAACTTATCCACTAGGCAGACATGACCTACTGTCAAAAGCCCATGATACTTTTAGGGACCTATAAGAACATTTTAATTTCTTTTAAAATCAGAAAAAAAAATGAACTTACAGATTTTTAAATGTTTGAATGCATAATGTCAATATATTTATTCCAAGTCAGTATTCTGAGAATGTAAATGTTGTATATCATATGGTTGATAACGATTGTGTATTCATAGGAGGAAATGAGAAGGAGGTTTGGAAGAAAGAAATTTATCATACTCAAAGGTCGCAGAGAGGGGACATCTCATGCTATGCAGGGACACAGAGAAGGCATGGGTGTCTGTCAGAAGGCAGAAAGGAGCAAAGAGAAAGCATTAGACCACAGGCTTTATTGGGTTTTCCATAGGAAAAACAGGGCAGAGCAAACAATTTAGAACAGGGCTTGCTTTAAAAATTCCGGCTCGACTTTGGGCTATAGGGATGGCCTCCACTTGAGTGATACTTGGCCCTGGGATAATTTAAGGCAGGGCAAACATTGGCTTAGTGTGTGAGAGTTAGATAAGGAAGTAATTAATGGATTGGTTGGTTTGCATATGAAAGGCCTGCGTTCATAGGCAAATTGTTATTATCTTTAGGAATTAGCTAGCCCTAGGAGGAGGAGTTTCTCCATGGTCTACAAGGCTCCCAAATGCCAGAGCAACAAGAATATAGATAATAATAAAATATTATAAATTCAGTATTGGCCCTGTGAAGAATCGATGCCAAATAGACAAATACAGAATCTAAGAAAACACAATTAGAACATTAAGTCATGAAATACAATTTTTAATATTTTTGTGGATGAAGAGGTCCAAGAAAGCCATAATACAGCCCTTCTTGGCTGCAGTCTGTACAAAGTTTGGTTCAGTGAGGGGTTTAATGGTGTAGGAGAAAAACTTCCAAGCAGATAAGGTTGAATAAAGTGGCACCACAACTCATAACCACTGCCCCTCTGGGTTCATAAAACCACCTTCCTTATTTGTTTTGTTGATCTTCTTTGTTTTGTTGATCTGCTCCTGGTACTTGTTCCTGAAAATTGCCTTTAGCATGTAGACACTGATTTTCTGGCCTCTATGTAGTTCCGGTTCTCAGGCTTCTTTCTTAAAGCCAACCCTGACCTTTGTCTTGACATTACTGCCCTGGTTACCGCAGTAATATGCTGAACACATAATACCAAGAATAATGAGTATTTGTGTTTGCTTTTTTTTTTTTAAACAGAACCTAAAATGTTCTGAACTTGCACTTATAATTTTATTAACTACTCAACAAATGATATTTATTATTACCAAAGAATACTAAATTACATTTTTATCATATGCTTTATGATTTGTACTAACTATTATACATTAATACAGTTAGGAATATATACTGCTACAAACAGGCATAATGGAGATTTTTTTTGAGAAGTTTTGTATTTTATTATGTGTTCTTCCATTTAATTTGAATTACATTGCTTTCATATTACAGCTTATCTGGTCTTTCTGTTTCATGATATACATAGAATATCAGTTCTAAATTACTAAAATATTTAAGGAAAACATTTAGTTCAGACACCGTACCTCACTGTGGTCACAGAACTTTAGTCATTGACTGAGGTCTTGAAAGTCACCATCTTCTTGTTTTTTTCTTGCAGAAGAAATGTCAAGTTATACTTCTTTACTCTGCAGGTTTCAGAGAATATTTGTTTTCAGATAAGTAGCTTGGAGTTTACCCTTCAGATATTCAAATAAACACAGCACCATTTTCAACCTTTCAACTTTCTTCTCAAAAACTTTCAGGAGCTCAGCAGCAGAAAGTCACCAGTTTTTGGAGAAAGAACTTGAATATTTTAAATATTCTTAAAGTTTTGAAATCACCAAGGCCACTGTGTAGAAAGGATTACTGATTCTTTCTCTAGAAAATTGCAATTTGCAGTCAATTCCAATGGGGCAATGAGTGAGGGTAGCGAAGAAAGAAAAAAAAAATGTTATGACTTTATCTCAATGAACTATTAGGAAAGTGTTCGAGACATACCACTAGCTAAAAAAATGATTTTAAGAAAAACAGACAACTTGTCTTCACCAAAAATTTCTTCCATGCAATAAGATTACAGGAAGAGAAAGAGGAAGGTGAGTAGATGAGGCAGATTAGAAAGTAGGTAGTGTAAATAACATTATATGGTTCCTCAATACCTTAGCCTCCCTTATTTATCACTGATAGAACCTTGATCTTGTTCAGAGTTCTTCTGTACCCAAGCAATGAATCACAACTCATCTGGCCCATTATGACAAGCCTGTTCTCTGTCAGGCTGCCTTGGAGCTAGGGGCAGCCAACTGAGTTCTTCTGCATTTGAGGGGCTGACTGCAGGAAGGACTTCTAGGAAAGGTTTTGCTTTCCTGGTAATTAATGAGGTCAAGTAGAGTGACTCTCCACTCCTTTCTTATCTTCTACCAGCTTTTTGCTTTGAAAAGTGGACCCAGTGCTTATGGCTGCATCACCATTTTCATTACCAGTTCAAGAACAGAAGCTAAACCACTAACAGTGGCAACCTAACTCAATCTTGTTGTACAATTACAGAAATGATTTCCTTGCTTTTAAAGCCTTTATAAGTCAGGAATTTTTAAAACTGGCATTCAAATAGATTTCTAATTAGTACAATGTAGCCCCATCTCAGTTCAGTTATGTCAGCCCCATGTCTATATTGGGCATCTGAACAGCATTTAAGAAAGTTTCATTGCTTAATTTTGAAAACACTATATATGACAATATCTATGTTCTCCCAAATTTGCTTACCTATGACTCAATGCATGGACAAAGCCAACAAAATAAACAAAATGCCATTAATATGTTTTGTTATTACGGACTGGAGGAAGAGAGATTGCAGGCAGTGGTTGGAGACTGGGTTCAGATTATAATGGGTTGAGGAATAAATGGATGCTGAGAAAGTGGAACCAACGTATGAGCTATTCCCTCAAGAAGTCTGGAGGTGAAGAGAAAGAGAAAATGGTGCAAAATTGAGGACTATGTTATTTGGGGAATACAGAAAATAGGTTTCTAGTTGAGGGGAAAGTGCAGTGGATAGGAAGAAAGAATGAATCACAAGGGAGGAAATGATCAATGGAGTAAGATCCAACTATAATGTATGCCAGGCTTTATTTTATTTTATTTTTAACAGGCTCTCACTCTGTTGCCCAGGATGGAGTGCGGTGGCGCAATCACTGCTCACTGCCGCCTCGATTTCCCAGGCTCAAACGATCCTCCTTCTTCAGCCTCCTGAGTATCTGGGACTATAGGTGTGCATTACCAAACCTGGTTAATTTTTTCTATTTTTTTGTAGATACAGGTTTTTGTAGATACAGGGTTTCTTTTTTTTTTTTTTTTTAGATATCTTGCCCAGGCTGGTCTTGAACTCCTGGGCTCAAGTCATCTGCCCACCTTAGCCTCCCAAAGTGCCTGCATTACAGGTTTGAGCCACCATGCCCAGCCCCAGATGTTCTAGTTCTTGAAGACTCTGCCAATATTTTAGAAACTGAAATACATCAAATAAAAATAAAATATGCAAATAGAGGCCAGGCAGGTAAGATATTACATATTTTTAACAACACACAAATGCAGACATGCAAATATACAGTACTTTCTTAGAAAGTATTCAAGATAAAGTAATAAGGAAGTTTTTTTAAATCCACACTATAATTTAATGTAGGAATATTTTCTACAAATAATAACAAGTCTGACAATATGTTCATAATGTCATCTTTTAAGAACTTTTTAGATTTCCTTTCTACTGGAAAACTTTTAACTTTGAAAACCGCAAGTAATATTTTTCTTCCTGAAACCTCTGCAGTGGTAGCAATGCACTGAAGTTTGATTAAAAGGTCAGTTAATGCAAACATAAATCCCTTAAAATATTTAGAGCACACAAGTTTCAACTCATCTTGTATTTATAAGACAACATTTTAAAAGGAAAATCTCTTAAGAATGGAGGCTATTATGTTGAGCAATGCCTTCCTTTCCCAACAGAGTATTAGACAAGCTGAATATATAAATCTGCTTTATGTTACTGTATCAATGGCTGATGTTCAATGGACTTTTGGTATTAGGGCTATAAATATCTGACAGAGAAATAAACATCATATGGAAGTAAATTGACTATAATGGAAGGAGGTGCTCTGAATAGGCCTCCATGGAATTATCTGCTCAATCTTTGAGACTTTGTTTTGGCGTTGTTACTTTTGAGAGTGTAATGATTTTTCTTATGTGGTTGGTGCTTTGAAAGGAGTTCAGGAGTGAACCTGTGTTCTCATCATCCACACTGGTGGCTATCAAGCCTGTTGTTAAAGCTTATGTGTAATGTTGACCCATAATTCAATTAAAAAATGTTAAACTAACAACAATGGGGGTGATTTTTTTTTTTTTTTTTTTTTTTTTTTTTTTTGAGATGGAGTTTCGCTCTGTCCCCCAGCTCTGTCCCCCAGGCTGGAGTGCAGTGGCGCCATCTTGGCTCACTGCAAGCTCCGCCTCCCGGGTTCACGCCATTCTCCTGCCTTAGCCTCCTGACTACAGGCGCCCGCCACCACGCCCGGCAATTTTTTTTTTAAATTTTTTTTTTTTGTATTTTTAGTAGAGACAGGGTTTCACCATGTTAGCCAGGATGGTCTCGATCTCCTGACCTCGTGATCCACCCGCCTCGGCTTCCCAAAGTGCTGGGATTACAGGCGTCAGCCACCGCACCCGGTTGATGAGGGTGATTTTTATAACCCTCCTCCTTCCCCAATAAAGTGTGTCCACATATTTCATTTTGTCTGTCTTGAAGTTTACAGGTAATAATTAATCACAATATACAAGCTCACTCTTTTCTTTCTTCCCCTCTCTCCTTTCCTCCATCCCTATCTCTGCACTTCTCTTTCGAATATGGAAGGAAATATTTACCACCACCTACCATACATTGATGTTTAGGAAGACCAAAGCTGGAATTAAAATCCTCAGCAGGGGTTCCCACAATGAATGACTATGGGTGTGAGGGTTTCTCAGCATATATGTGTGTGTGTGTGTGTGTGTGTGTGTGGTTTTTGCTTTTTCATCCTTACCATCCTTTCATCATTCAAGGAGCCATATTTCATATTCTATTTGCATAAGCAAGGAAAACATTACACAATTCCTGAAGATACAAGTAATCAAGTGTTATACCATGAAGTTCTAATAATAAATATTAAAGATAGGGCAGTAAAACAGTACAAAGAAAAGCTTTGTAGTGAACACAGAACTTGTCCAGGACCTTGGACAATACGTCTGGTTAGAGAGGTGGCAAAGCACAGAAGATTAAATACATTAAGGACTCCGTTTCTTCCTGTTAGTTTACTGGTCATTCCTGCCATGAGAAGATGATAGAGAATATCACCACAGTGTGACTTGCTTCCAAGGCAGCATGGTTTCATGCAGAGGATCTAAACTGGGGACCATGTGCTGGGCTGCAAAAGGGCTGTGCAGTGCCTAAAATGTTATGCAAAATTTTATAAAGGTAAGCATTTGTTTTCTGGAGAAGGATACACCCAATAGAATACTGTTTATGAAAATGTGATCTAATTACATTATACTCCAGCATCTCTCCTTTATCAAGTGCAGAAGACTAAGGTCTATTCGAGTGCAATGTTTGGTCTATTGTCATAGATAATAAATAATTGGTCCTGGATCACCCCTAGATCTCTATTGTTTCATCGATGCATCCTCATACCCACAACTTCATTTGGTTGGTACATCTGCTCTGGGTCATTGCATTAGTTTCTTAAGACCACTGTAACAAAGTACCAAATATTAGGCAGTTTAAAGTAACAAAAATTTATTTTCCCATAGTTGGGGAAAACAGAAGTCTGATATTAATGTGTCAGTAGGGCACTGCTCCCTCTGAGACTCTGGGCAGATCTCTTTTTTGCCTTTTTTTAGCTTCTGATGATGCTCGTCAAACCTTGGCGTTCCTTGACTTGCAGCTGCATCACTCCAGTCTCTCCCTGTGCCATTATATGGCATTTTTCCCTGGGCGTCTCTGTCATCACATGACATTTTCCCCTTCTTATAAGGACGGTAGTCATATTGAATTAGCGTGTATCCTAATAACTTTATATTAACTTAGTTATATCTGAATATCCAATAAGGTCACATTCACGGTTACCAAGAGTTAGGAGGTAAGCATATCTTTTGGAGAGAGACAATTAAACTAAAGATTTTTCTCCATTTCTCTCCTTAAAATAACTCTTCCCCTCTGTTTTCATAAAGCTATTATTCCAAAAATAATTGAATTCATTCTGCTCAAACTCCATCAACTGAAGTTAAGGTCGATCATTTTTCTAAGTCATCAGCAAATCATTCTGAATTCTAAGAGGGTATGATGTGCCATTGTTCTACATTTTGAACTGTAGCCAAACTTGGAGAGCCACTAAATGGGCTCCCATATGTTGACTCTGAATCATTCATAAGTAGTCTCTTGAACCGCCACACAACTGACATCTGACATAAATAAACAACCACATTTTTCTGGCTTGTTTATGAGCATGTCTTGGGGAGCAAAGTCAAAGCCTTCCTGAAGGAAAGATATATTACACCTATTGCTTTTCCCATCTACAAAGCTAGTGACTCTGTCACAAAAGAAAATTAGATTGGTCTGACATTATTTCTTCCTATGGCCAACTTGACTGTTTTCCAATCCTCTTCACTAGTTTAGGGATCCAAAGAGTAAAAACACACGTAGATATAACATTCTGCATAAAATGTAAGACTTACCCAAATTTTATGCACTATCTCTTTAAAATAGAGCTATTTTGACCCTCTTGGATAAATGGGAATTTTTGGCCTGTTTGGTCTTGATAAGAAATTTTACAATACTCATAGAAAATTGCAAATTTCAGACAATCTTGATCCACAAAAAGAACCCATCACTTCAGCCTGTTATTTCTTTAAATTCCCATGAAACTCTCTTGAGAACATTTGTTGAACTGTGTAATAGAAACTGACATAAAGATGGGGCATTAATATACTGATTTCCTTTCTTTGGGTTATATATCTAGCAGTGAGACTGCCAAATCACATTGTAGTTCTATTTTTAGCTTTTCAAGGAACCTCCATACTCTTCTTCACAGTGGCTATACAAATTTACATTCCCAACAGTGTATGAGGGTTCCCTTTTCTCTACATTCTCACCAGCATTCATTATTGCCTATCTTTTGGATAAAAGCCATTTTAGCTGGAGTGAGATGATATCTCATCATAATTTTGATTAGGTATCTGCACTCCCATGTTTACTGCAGCACTATTCACAATAGCCAAGATTTGGAATCAACCTAAGTGTCCATCAACAGATGAATGGATAAAGAAAACATGGTACATTTACACAATGGAATACTATTCAGCCATAAAAAAGAATGAGATCTTGTCATTTGCAACAACATGGATGGAACTGGCTGATATTATGTTATGTGAAATAAGCCAGGCACAGAAAGACAAACTTCACATAATATCACCCATTTGTGGGAGCTAAAAAGTAAAACAATTCAACTCTTGAAGTTAGAGAGTAGAATGATGGTTATCAGAATCTGGGAAGGGTATTAGAGTGAGGAAAGTGCAGATAGTTAATGAGTACAAAAATATAGTTAGATAGAATGAATAATATCTAGTATTTGACAGCACAATAGGGTAACTACATCGAACAAGAATTTATTGTACATTTTAAAATAACTACAAGAGTATAATTGTAATGTTTGTAACACAGAGAAATAAACAATTGAGGTGATGAAGGCCCAATTTACCTTGATATGATTATTACACATTGTATGCTTGTATCAAAATATCTCGTGTACCCCATAAATATATATACCTATTATGTACCAATAAATATTAAAAATATTTTTAAAGGAGCACCAAAAGTTAGAAGACAAAACAAACTTGACTGAATAAGTGAATTGCTTAATTGCTCTGTAAGAATATTTTTCTATTTTGATATTATAACATAAAAGTCATATGTTGATATATTAACTATCTTGAATATGGAGAAGAAATCTCACTGTTAGGTTGAGTGAGATTATGCCATTTTTTACCCACAGCCAATTTTGACCTTACAATGAATGACACCGTATTATTGAATTCAGGAAGAACAGAACTTTATTCACTAAATTTCACTACCTGAAAATTATCTTGAAACCTTTGGATTATCTGGGAAGACGTTAGTAGCTTGTCACTGTGTGTGACATTTGCCTATGCTCGTGGCTGAGTGTGAAGGGATCCAGCTACCTTTGGTTGGAAAGGCAGTCTGAACCATTTAGTTTCACTTTAGCAGCTACTCTCAGGTACCAGATTGCTTCTGAGACCAAGTTTCACCGTCTTGACCTTGAAATTAAAATTTGTCCATCAATCTTTGGTCTTCTCACCTCCCTTTTCTACAATAGATTTGTTGCATTAACTTCTACACTTGCTTCCTTTCATGGGTTTTGTCCCTGTCAGGTCTTTTTTCCATTATTCCACCTTTTGGTCTTCCAAGAGATTCCATTCAACACATTTCTGGCAAAGACCTCCTGAGGTATCACGAACTATCACTATGTTACTGGATACTCAGCTTTGGCTGTGTGTTCCAATATTTGCTATTAACAGGTGGTAGGAAACTGGGCTGTCTGAAATTTTTAAAAACCTTGTTTCATTTTCATACCCAGTATGTACAACAGATAGGTCTCTGACATTTGATGTTTGCTGCTAATTGATTTTTCAAGATTTTCAGCTATCTAAAAAACATCAGAGTTCTTATTTCTCAGCAAACTAAACAAGTATGATTTGGGGTTTTGCAGATCTTTAGAATTATCTCTGTGTATGCATCTAACCTGAACTAGGGATTAGAAACCGAGTAACACAGATACATTAATAAAAATAGGTATGTATATCAAGTATAATAAAATAATACACTGGTATTAATCCCACAGGAAAATTTGTTCAAAACATGAAAAATGGTTAACCTAATTTCAGTGAGAAAAATCTCAGATTGTTTGGTGGACACTGAATGGATAAAACACTTCTTTTGTAATTTTTATTGCTTTTATTTTTATTTTAGCTTAAAGTTCAAATTCCCTAAATAGGCCCTCTATGGTCTTAGTTCTTCTGACCCCATCCACCTCCAACTCCAACTCTTAGACAATGTTGGTATGTCCAAGAAAAAAAAATTCATTTTCTCAAATACAATGCTTTTCTCCTTGGTAGTAAACTCTTGCACAGATTGTACTCATCTGATTAAAACAGTTTTCCCCTCTGTCTTTACATTTCCATTTTCTTTTCACCCTTAAGACCTCACTTAATAAATGACTTCTTCCCAGAGGCTTTCCCTAACTTCTTAACTGCGTGAAGTGCCACTGCTCTCTACCCCATACAACACTCCACTGCCCATAACATGCACTTACCACCATGTGTTGGGACAATCTGGCTCTTCTCTCATTCCCTTTCTTGCCCATGAACTCCATGAGAGCATAATACATGTATAAGTACACTCCCAAGTATGTGGACAATGTTTAGTCACTATTTGTTGAGTGAATGAAGCATGAATAAATGTGAATGTTGCAATAGATTTGATTTCCAAAAGTGGAAAATCTCCTAGAATAAATATACTGCTCAGTTGAGGCCAAAAATTGACCTTTATAAATTTATCATTTATTGGAATACAAACTTAGAGCTCAGCTTTCTATTTTCAGCCTCGTCTTTCCCTTGAACTCCATAATTATGTATGCAACTTCATCTTCAGCATCTTCAGTTGGATGTCTAATTCCAAACTGCACATGTACAGGAGACGTTTTGACCGTTTTCCCACAAACTTGACCTATCCACAGGCTTTTTCATCTCTGTTTTGGCATTTACATAGGTAAGAATAAATAAATATATCTCTGTGCAATCATCAAGTCCCATGTCTTGGATTCATCTTTGACTCTTCTTCTTCTCCTAGTCGCAACATGCAATGCATCAGCATATTTCCTTAAATCCACATTAAACGTATATTCAAACTTTGACAATTTCTCAACTGTTTTCCAAGCTATCATCTTCTCTTACCTGCATTGTAACAATAGACTCCTAACAGGTCTCCTTGCTTGATACCAAAGTTATCAATTACCTTCAGTTTATTCTCACATAATCAGAGCGACTCTCTTAAAACACAAGGAAAACTACATCTTTCCTCTGCTCATCAGCTTCCAGTGGCTTCCCACTTCACTGAGAGTACAGACTAAAGACCTTTCGGTGGCCCACAAGGGTTTTGGTGATGGAGCCTTCTTACCCTTGCTGACTTTTCCTCCTGTACTGTCTTCCAATCCCAACTCCAATGACATTGATGTCCTTGATGTTCCTTCAGTGATACTTAGCCTGTTGTACACCCATACAGGAATGGTCTTCTCTCAGATATAACATTCCCTCATTTCCTGCAAGTCTTTGCTCCAATATCATCTTCTCAAGGAGGCCTTTCTGAACCATCTTTCAAAAAATTGCCGTCATCATTGACATTACCCTTCCACCATTCTTGTTTTCCTTTTTTTAGTTTTTCTTTTATGTAGTGCATTTTACCTTCTAATACATTGCACTATTTACTAGCAGGGATATTGTTTCTTCTGTTAACTGTTGTGTTCCCAGTGACTAGAACAGACTTAGCACTTAATAGGCATTCCATATTTGTTAAAAATGAATGTATGAAACTCTAAGTCTAAAACCTAAATAGGCCTTGTTCCATGTTTTCACTAACCTCATAATAAGAAAAATCTAGGAGAAGACTCTTCATAGTAACGAAAAGCTAGGGAAAGCCTCTTATAACTCCCAGTGAGACAATGGGCTTTCCTAGAAAGTCATATTTTAATGTTCCTACCAATTTAATTTGTTTTAACTTTAAAAATATAAATGTTAAGTGTGGTGCCCAGGTAACAGCTGACCTTTGAAAGACACAAGCTAGAATTCAATTTTTGCCAGGGGAGTTTTGCCTAGTCAAGTTGAACAGATATTTTATATTTTACCCTAAAATTTAAGAATCTCAGGCCCAGTGAATTTTTTTTCCATTATGTAAATTGTTCCCAAGCTTTCCATATGATTCCCTTTCAAGGGAAAATTTTCTAGTTTTGTGTGGTTCATGTTTTTTTCCACCCCTGAAATTCCAAGATCACTTAACTGTGATTAAATAACAGCTCACTTTTCTTTTACTTTGCCATAGCTTAAAAGCTCTTGCTCTAGTGGCCCCTGAATGCAAAACAAGCATTGCCTGGCCACAGGCATGCTTGGCCATGGCTGGTAATGAGAAAGTAGGAATTCTTAAGCCAGGATGGGTATAAAGTGAATTTATCTGGTTTTGTTCAGAGACCATAGCTCAAAAATCAGGCACCATGTGTGGTTCTCATTCCCCACTTGTAAATGTTGAAACCCCATTAAAGAAACTACCAGAGCATTGTCATAAATATCTCAAATAGAAGTTTGCAAGAAAACACTGCTGTTAAATAACAATAAGCCTTGAAACTTACACTGTGATGAAGCCCTAAGGTTGATAATTCAAACCAAGACATTTCTCTTTTATGTGATTTGCTAGGATATTTTCTTGCTTTATTTTCTTGAAGCCATATGACTAGTTAAAAATCCATACATTTGGTATCTAGGAACTAACTAAATTTAAAACCACAGAACCAATCTTTCTTAATGTGTGTTTCCAACTATTTCACAATTTGTGAACATTGGCTTTAAATTGGCCTGTACATCTGAGCTGGTTGTGGTCATTAGAGAATTCCAACCTAGATAAAATTTTTGCAACCATAGCCCACAGTAAAAACACTATAAATTGAACAGAGATTTCTTCTGCTTCTCATTCTTTTCTTCTGACTCTCAACCTATTGAAACCATTTCTTAAGGCTGATTTGGGAAGAAAATGTTACAGTTTTGTACTTTCAAATTTGTATTTAAAAACAGGAAATTATTAAGTACTTCACAATGGGCCAGATATGAGAGCTTACAGAAATATAAAGATGACAAATGCAAAGGCCCTGCCAACATGAAAAAGGATAAGTGGCATTCATATATGCTCTCTGAAGTGTGGCAGATGCTGCTTATTACTTGTCTTATATCCATCATTCTCTTCTACCTGGCTAACAAGTCCAGTAGTCAGGTGCACAGCCCTAGAGAATAACTCTGCCGTCCTGGTATCTCTTTTTTTTTTTTTTTTTTTTTTTTTTTTTTTTTGTAGTCTGAGGATAGGTATTTTGTTTCACATATTTTATTTTATTTTTATTATTATTATACTTTAAGTTTTAGGGTACATGTGCACAATGTGCAGGTTTGTTACATGTGTATACATGTGCCATGTTGGTGTACTGCACCCATTAACTCGTCATTTAGCATTAGGTTTATCTCCTAATGCTATCCCTCCCCCTCCCCCCACCCCACAACAGTCCCCAGAGTGTGACGTTCCCCTTCCTGTGTCCATGTGTTCTCATTGTTCAATTCCCACCTATGAGTGAGAACATGTGGTGTTTGGTTTTTTGTTCTTGCGATAGTTTGCTGAGAATGCTGGTTTCCAGCTTCATCCATGTCCCTACAAAGGACATGAACTCATCATTTTTTATGGCTGCATAGTATTCCATGGTGTATATGTGCCACATTTTCTTAATCCCATCTATCATTGTTGGACATTTGGGTTGGTTCCAAGTCTTTGCTATTGTGAATAATGCCGCAATAAACATACGTGTGCATGTGTCTTGATAGCAGCATGATTTATAATCCTTTGGGTATATACCCAGTAATGGGATGGCTGGGTCAAATGGTATTTCTAGTTCTAGATCCCTGAGGAATTGCCACACTGACTTCCACAATGGCTGAACTAGTTTACAGTTCCACCAACAGTGTAAAAGTGTTCCCGTTTCTCCACAACCTCTCCAGCACCTGTTGTTTCCTGACTTTTTAATGATCACGCTACCTGACTTCAAACTATACTACAAGGCTATAGTAACTAAAACAGCATGGTACTGGTACCAAAACAGAGATATAGACCAATGGAACAGAACAGAGCCCTCAGAAATAATGCCGCGTATCTACAACTATCTGGTCTTTGACAAACCTGACAAAAACAAGCAATGGGGAAAGGATTGCCTATTTAATAAATGGTGCTGGGAAAACTGGCTAGCCATATGTAGAAAGCTGAAACTGGATCCCTTCCTTACACTTTATACAAAAATTAATTCAAGATGGATTAAAGACTTACATGTTAGACCTAAAACCATAAAAACCCTCAAGGAGAACTACAAACCACTGCTCAATGAAATAAAAGAGGATACAAACAAATGGAAGAACATTCCATGCCCATGTGTAGGAAGAATCAATATTGTGAAAATGGCCATACTTCCCAAGGCAATTTATAGACTCAATGCCATCCCCATCAAGCTACCAATGACTTTCTTCACAGAATTGGAAAAAACTACTTTAAAGTTCGTATGGAACCAAAAAAGAGCCTGCATTGCCAAGTCAATCCTAAGCCAAAAGAACAAAGCTGGAGGCATCACGCTACTGTCCTGGCATCTCTTAAAGCTAAAAGTAACCACATGTGCTGACCAATGAAATTGCACATGAATGTCTTCTGGGGTTTCTAGAGAAGCTTTTGTATTTTCAATAAAAGAAGGTAGATGTGGGTAGAGCCCTTCCTTCCTTCCTTCCTTCTTCTTCCTAAGCTGAATGAAGGCTTGAAGTCAGAAACTACAGCAGTTATTTTGACCATGATGTAAAAAATTCAACTCAGTAAGAAATGCAAAGTCAAGAATCCTTAATGCATCCTTAATACATCCTTAATAAAACTAGTGAGCCTGTGAGGCAACCGTATCACTGACTATACCTGGACATTTTCTGAAAACCAATTTATGTGTGTTTAAACTATTTACAAATCAGTTTTTCTGATCACTGCAACTAAAAAAATTCGTAACAAGCCCACATGATCACAAGTTAGACACTTGGAGTATCATGGTGTTTCTGGCAGTGGTATTCTAGAGGTTTTTAAGGGCTCCAGTCATTGAATTCCTCATCTGCAGACATACCTGACAGCTCTTGGAAGACAGGATGGCAAGAGGTGAAATCTTGCTTAGATGATGGACAAATTCAGGCAATGTGAATAAAATCCATAGCTCCTGAAAGTCTTTGGAGATACACTCATTTGTTTGAAGGTATTATTCCCATAAGCTGTCTGTTTAAATGGAAATTAATCTGGAGGAGATAAGGCATTAAGCCATGGCAACATGAGAATGTGAAAAGAGCTCCAGCTTTGTAATCTTCCTGACATGGGACTAAAATCTGCCTTTCCCTGTCGTTACTTGTATGATGCTACTGAGCTTCTTTGGGCCTCAGTATCCTGATCTCAATGGATGAAGTATTAACACTGGCTTCACAGAGAACTTGATGAAGTTAAATATCATGTACACAATGTGCATAGCAATTACTAGTACATGGTAGCCATTCCAAATGTGCTAGCTGTAATTTAATATTATTGTTAACATTATTTATTATTATTAGCTTAGCAAATGATATGCTTTTACTGTGTCACCACCCAACTCTCACCTTGAATTGTAGTAATTCCCATGTATCACGTGTGGGGCCAGGTGGAGATAATTGAATCATGGGGGTGGTTTCCCCCACACTGTTCTCCTGGTAAGTGAGTAAGTCTTACACGAGCTAATGGTTTTATAAATGGGAGTTCCCCCGTATAAGCTCTATCTTGCCTGCCACCATGTAAGATGTGACTTTGCTCCTCCTTGCCTTCCAAAATGATTATGAGGCCTTCCCAGCCGTATGGAACTGTGAGTCAATTAAACCTCTTTCCTTTACAAATTACCCAGTCTTGGGTATGTCTTTATTAGTAGCATAGGAACAGACTAATACAGCAAAGACTGGCTTAACAGGTTTCTGTTAAGATGGCAGTGAGGAGGGAACACTTGGCAAGGACATTTTCCTAGGTGAGCATAGAGCATTAAAGGGAGAAACTTTTCCATTTTATCCACAGCTATGGACAAAGGCTTTCCCCTTTCTTTAACTGGACAGTTAAGACAGCTAAATGTTAATTTCTAGAGTCTCCCCACATATGCAATGCCAATAAGAAATGCTGCCTTGGTAAATGACAAACATGAGGCTGGGTTTGCTGAGGACTACACAGAGATTCCCAAATCAGAGATCAAAATAGCTCTGGGGGGTTTTGTTTGTTGTGTGTTTTATTTTGTTGTTATTGTTGTTTATTCCTTTATTTATTTAGTGTAAATGATTTGGTGTATGGTAATACTGTTCTCCAAGAAAGCAAGTCCTGGTATAGGAGGTTTGTAGAAGGAAGGAGTTTTGGGTTAGGGTGAGCTGAGTTACTTTAATGTACCTGCAGTACACTCACAAGGGTATCGGGGGTGATTTAACAACAGGAGGAGTAAGAAAAGAATATGGTTCAATTCCAGACCCAAAGATTACCCATTTAAAAGACCCAAAGTGAGAAAAACAAGATTAGCAAAGGAGTTAGAAAATAAGCACTAATAAAAGCAAGAGGAAAGTTGGGAGGATTCAGTATCATTAACCAAAGGTAGTTATAAGTTCTAGAGAAAATGGCATGGTAGAAATAAATCCATACTTCACTAGAGCATATCTGAAAGACTTTCCTACTTTAGTCATTACAGTTATAAATAAAATAATCAATATTAAAATTTCTAGAGGATTTTCACTAACTGAAGCACTGCAGTAACTATAGATATTAAAAGACATTACATTGTATTAAATTCAATAGCTTATAGTCTAGTTTCATTTAGATGAACAAATATTCTACTCAGCATAATATTTAATATAAACTCCATACTTTGTGATTAGCATTTGAATTTGTAAAGTTACCAGTATATAAGAGGTTTGTCCTAAAAATAAGGAGATCTCTTTTTACAAATACATCATCCAAATAAACACTGCCCTTCATTTCATTACATAGGTAGGTCATGTATTGCTCCATTGATGCTGCCCTTATTCATGATGATTAAAGCCTTTGGGAGGTATTCCTTCAGAATAATGTAAGTACTACAGAGAGCATGTGTTTTAGATTTACTCAATCCTAAATTTGAAATCTTGTATTGCTTTTTACTGTATGACCTTGGGAATATTACCTAAGTCTCAATATGTTTGTCTGAATGGTGGAAAAAATAATACTGAGTTTCTATAAAGATGATATAAAATAGTACAGACTAATCACCTAATACAGTGGCTGGACCATATTAGAACTTTAGCAAGTTCTTGTTGATACTGGTATTATTAGCCTCAGGGTGTGTGGCAACATCTCATTTCTTTGTAACTATGTGTCATAATTGTATGTCAACTCTACTTCTTGTTCTCAAAACAATAAGTAATTTTTAATGATCCATCTTATTGTATAGATTTTGTTCTGAATGACTTTGAGTGCTCTCTAAATCTTAAATTCATTTTCAAATGGTCAAGAAGGAACACTTGATAAATTCTAATGAATTTGTCAAAGACTATGAAGGAAGTTTCAAAAAAAAGAGTTCAAAAATATTTTAGGTAGTGGCATCATTGTTGCAATGAAAACAAACTCTCTCAAGTCACCTTGAGAGCCAAAAGTAATTCAAATATGAAATAATCTTTTTAAAAGTAAAATGAATCCTATTACCTTATAACCATATGTCAATCTTAATGAATAAGATTTTAAAGAAAAGATAAAATCTTACATGAAAGTTAACTATATATTTAATCAATTAAAATATTTGCCCCAAGTATCCTTCAGCTGCATGATTTATTTGGCAGGCAATTATTCGTGGTAGCATTTTGATGTCACCAGTATTAGACATTTTAAAAAAGGAATGAATACGATGAACCTGTATGACATTTTATATCCAATGCACCATTAAAATTCATATCAATTAAACATGAAAATTAAGACTCTATCGTGTATATTATATAAAATTTATAAAGTGAAAAGGGAAATGAATCTATTTATACATTTAATTGTTTTCTATTTGCCAAATAAATAGTTTTAGTGAAATGTTCTAAATTAGTGCACAGTGTGATTAAGGTATTTGAATTTCATCAATTTGCATGCAATTTTTGTATTTGCTTCTATTACATGGAGCTAGTCTCAGTCAACATTTTCATATACTGACATTAGTTTTGATTAAACTTCTATTTGTTTTAATATTTCTTGAGAACTTGATTAACATTTTAACAGCTTTGTGCTAGGTATTTTATGTGAATTATATACCTATTTTATTCTAATAAAAATCATCGTGAAGTAGGCTCTATTATTAATCACACTGAGGGATGAGAGAGTTGATGTTTAGAGATTAAGAATTTTGCCATAAATGACCCAAATACTGTAAAACAGATCTAGGAATCAAGTTCTAAAGATTTTTAATGCTCAAATAAAAGTCCACCTGCTCGGTAATGAGGAAAAACAGAAATAAGAATGGTTACAACGCTTTCTCCTTCTAAAGACTGCCGATGACTTACTGATTCTTGAAATATTCTGAAAATAAAGAGCCTAATATGAGAAAGGCTATTCTTTAATATTAGACCAACACTGAACCCGCCACACTACGTTGCACAGTGGTTTAGAGCATGGGCCCTGCCAGCTTTCAAACCTGCTTCCTATTTGTCATCATCTGACTCTAGACACTTTATTTACCTACAATCCAGTTTTCTTATCTGTCAGTGAGGGTGAGACTCTACCATATAGAATTGTTGTAAGGATTGAAAAAGCAAGTGTTAGTTAAAAATCACTTAGAATAATGCCTGTCCCATAATAAATACTATGCACATATCTATTAAGAATAAATTATTTTTAAAATCAGTGAGAGAATAGTCAAAGCCATTGTCAATTTAATGTATTCAGCTGGTAGATTTTGTTTATGCCCCTAGCGAAGACTTATTTCTCACTATTAATTACTCAATGGAAGGGTCTTCACACTTATTCAGAGTAATTATTGATTAGATGATTTACCTACTGATCATACTTGCTAACTTTGGTACTTTTTCTTACTCTCTCATTTAACAGAGCATAAAGACACATAGTCTTAGTTCTAAGTGAAAACATAAAATAAAATATATTCAAAATAAAGTCTACTTATTCTGATGTCTGGCACCTGAAGAGGCTTTTCCATGAATAAATGTAGTTTATTAGCTTTTGTGGAATGTTTTCATATGCAATGATTCTAAGCCGGGTTGGCTATACCTATGATGAGAAAGTCAACAAAATGTCATTTTAATTAATAAATTAATTTTGCTTTCATCAGTCAAAAACAAGTAAAATAATAAAAAAAAGTACCACATGCCTTTCAAAGATTCTACCAGGAAATTCAAGACTGTTGAATAGCCAAACAGACTACTGTCTAAAAAACAGGAAAAAGACAAAGAGAAAAAAGAAATAGAAAACATAAGACAGCCCCTAAAGCCTGACAATGATTCATTAATTTTCTGACTTTTTCTGATAGACTAATTATGCACTGTGAAATACAGAGGCCACTAGAAATGTGTGGCTGTTTAAATTAAATTACATTAAATATTTCATCTCACTAGCTACATTTCAAGTATTCAAAAGCCGCATGTGGCTAGTGGATACTGGATTGGGTATAGCAGATATAAAACAGTTCCCACCTCAAACTTCAAATCAGAATCTGCATTTTAACAAGATCTCCCAGGTGATCTATAAACTCAAAGTTTGAGAGACAGTGACTAATTCATTCAATAATTTATCTTTGGCTTCACGATTATTGCAGTATAAAATGCTGAACTGATTTTTCAGTGTAGTGAAATACTGATGTCTGTGTCTTGTGAGAAAAGGCAATATCCAATTATTTGATAGTATCTCTTCTAATAGTAAGAAAAACATGCCACCTTGGTTTTCTATAAACTCTCTAATTTTTCCTGGCTTTTTGTAAATTAATAAGCTCTTTTATTTTGTTCCCATATCCAGGGACAACTTCGATAAGTACTGGTAAGAAAATAAGTAGAAACTCTAAATTTGAAGTCTTCATTCTCATCTTACTATCTTCTATTAAATATTATTTATAATAAAAGCTGTAGGCTAATTCAGAAATAAGACTCCCATCAAAATGCATGTAAATATATTAAGCAAGTTAAGAAAGGCTGTAGACTAGGAAAATGACTATTCCACTAAGAAGTTTTGAAGTGGAACAGAGACACTGCTTTTTGAGAAATATCACCAGGGCTACTCATCAAGATGTTTCCAGATCACATGCTTTATATTGTTGTATGAAACCTGAGAGAGCAGAACTGGTGAAATCCATCAACCAAGATGAAAAATTATTGCAACTTTGAAAACAGAAATGGCTGTAAAAATTAAAACTGATGAGACTCGGAGTTTAAGAAACCCAAGGCCACAAATCCCCCCATGAGACAGACTTCCTTGAGGACAAGGACTATCTTCCATTTCTGTGTACCATGTGCCTGTAATAGTGTTGGAAACAGAGTAGGCACTCAATAAATATTTGTCAAACTATATTTCATTGAATTATCTTCAGTTCATGCATGGGAAAAAGCACTTTCCATGCTATCGTGATTGTTCACCTGAGAAATCAAATTAAGAATTTGATTATGCTCAAGTATCTCATTCTAAAATGAACTTCATTACCTACAGTAAAAATGTAGAACTACCGTTCATTGAGAAAATGAAGTAACAATAAAATTATAGAGACAACTGTAAGTCAAATTAGGTGAGATATCCCCCATTTGCATTCATGAAATAAATTATTGAATAGCTTTGGTGATCTTTTTTCTATCACATAGATAAATCCCGCTGAAAGGTGACATCTTTTGTGGTGGCTTCTTCCCTTGCTTACTTTAATGAAGCAAAAAGCTCAGAAAATATTTGAGAATTTTTTTCAAACTGATGGCTGTGCCTCTTTTATCATGCTTATTTGAATAACAAAAATATTAATGAATTCTTTTTCAGTACAGGCAATTTCCCCCCCCCTTTTTTTTTTTTGGCAGGAGAATTGAGCCTTCTCAGACAAATTTGATTTTTGCTATTCATGATACTTGTTTAGTCGTTCTACTAGTATGTAGGCATCAGCAGTAATACAATTTG
The DNA here is from genome assembly GCF_000001405.40 of Homo sapiens. Taxonomy (NCBI): domain Eukaryota; kingdom Metazoa; phylum Chordata; class Mammalia; order Primates; family Hominidae; genus Homo; species Homo sapiens. The sequence continues at coordinate 53,598,927 of NC_000018.10, forward strand.
TGCAGAATGGAAAATATGCCTAGAGTGCTAGGCATGCAGAAATGCTAAGCACAAGGCCAAACGTCAGCATCAACACAGGAGCTTGACGAATCACCTTTGAAGGTTCTGTTATCGATGTTTTCTCCTGATGTGCATGATGTGTTCTCTCTGTTAATTAACTCTATGACCTTGGACCATTCACAATTTCTCTAATTCAGTTTCCTCATCTGAAGGGGGTATGTGATCAAAGGGATGAGAAATTTATGGGAGAGGAGGACATCACAGACCCAACCACATGCAGAATGGGAGATGATGAACCCAGCCAGTTCCTTTGGAATGGCCCATGAATACAAAGCTTTATTCATTCATCAGGATCCAGGCACCCATTACACTATGAGGGTGTAGTAAAAGCTGTAGACTAACTCAGAAATAAGACTCGCATCAAAATGCATGTGAATATATTAAGCAAGTTAAGAAAGGCTGGAGACTAGGAAGATGACTGTTCCACTAAGAAGTTCAATCTTATTTTTTCCTGAAAATACACCTCAGAAGGTCAGCACAAGATGGAAATCTGTCTAAAAAGAGAAGCAATGAACATTAATAGAATCAACTCTTGATTCTCTTAAAGCAGATTATCCTTGACAAAGCATGCCAGCAAAAACAATATTCCACTTCGCTGCTTACTTTGTTAACAGCTCACATCTATTTACTCTTAACTTGGAGTGTAGCCTGCATTCAAGCTCTACAATCATTTGGAAACGTGAGATTCATAGACTATTGCGGATGGAAGGGCCTTTAAAAATCATCTAGGCCTACCATCAATCTGAACAGCTCTCAGAAGCTTGAACAATCCCACTGATGTGGAACTCACTTCTCCCTGAGGCAACCTATTCTATCTTTGGACCAAGTTTGTGCTCTGGGAAGAATGAAAGTAACAGCTGTGCTTGAGCTGCATTGCTATGCTGGTCTGACACACAAACTCTCCTCTCCCATGCTTTCCTAGCATAGACTAGGCTACAGGGAGAAGTTGAGAGCATTTTAGAAAGAAAATGGAAAGTTTCCTATTTAGATTGTTTTGACAGATAGAAGCCCAAAATCTTCAAAACAATTACAGTGTCAATAAAACTTTCATATCATAAACAATCACTTATTAATATTAACTAAATTATTTCCCAAAATCAATATAAAAGATTATGATAAACACTAACTGTGATTACCCGTATTTTAGTTGTCTCATGTATCCGTGTGAAGAGACCATCAAACAGGCTTTGTGTGAGCAACAAGTCTGTTTATTTCATCTGGGTGCAGGTGGGCTGAATCCGAAAAAGGAGTCAGCAAAGGGTGATGGATTATCATCAGTTCTTATAGGTTTTGGGATAGGCAGTGGAGTTAGGAGCAATGTTTTGCGGGCAGGTGGTCGATCTCACAAAGTACATTCTCAAGGGTGGGGAGAATTACAAAGAAACTTCCTAAGGGTGGGCGAGATTACAAAGTGCATTGATCAGTTAGGGTGGGGCAGAAACAAATTACAATGGTGGAATGTCATCAGTTAAGGCTCTTTTCACTTCTTTTGTGGATCTTCAGTTGCTTCAGGCCATCTGGATGTATACGTGCAGGTCACTGGGGATATGATGGCTTAGCTTGGGCTCAGAGGCCTGACATGAGTCTCATACTGCCACCTCTTACCTGGCTTAAGACACTTCCTCCAATAGGAAGCATGAGCGTGTAGCAAAATACTAATCTTCGCTCCTTCCCTGGCCCTATTAACATTACATCTAATTCATAATACACACTCACACACCCACTCGTTTCATCTTGATCCTCCTAAAACCATAATGCTGATATTTCTTTCCTTCCCAGTCTTTGCCATCCTTAACTCTCAAAGAGCATTATATTCTTGCTATCTCTACTTCTTTGCTACTGTAATTCACTGCCACCCGACTTTTATCCCCAGTATTGTGCTAATAGTGGAGATAAAAATAAATGCCTAAATGGCAAGTACAAAGAACATTTTTCAGATCTTAACTCTAGCCGACTCTATAATGCACCGGATTTTGTTGATCACTAGCTTTGTCTTGGATCTCATCGCTTAGTGCCTGTTACCCAGCTACCCTCAAATTTTCCTGCTGTTCTGCCTTTCCATGAAGCACTGATGCCCTCCAAGGAGCCACACTGTGCAATTTTCTCTTTGCTTCGTGTGCTTTCCTTGAGGAGCTCCCCCTACTTTGAGTTTTCTCTATCACCTGTCTACCTCTAACCCTCGCCTCTCCTACAAACTTGAGGCTAATTTGTCCCCATGAAAGGAAAAAAAAATGAAATAGTATCTAAAGGATAAATAGGAATTAGTGAAGAGATACAGAGGGAAATATATTGGCAGAGGAAAAGAACATCACAAGATAGAAAAGCATATTTAAAAGCTTAGAAACAGCAACAACAACAAAACAGGTAAACCCAAGAAATTAAATGAAGATCAATGTCACTGGAGCAGAGATAAAGAAAGCGTGCAATCAGGATGGAGAGATAGAAAAGAGCTGAGTCATATGAGGTCTTATAATCCATGTAAAGGAGTTCAATCTAAGGGTAAGAGAAAATAGGAAGAGTCAAAGGAATTACATGACCAGATTTGCATTTGCTTTAAATGTCTCCTTGATGCTAATGTAGGCAATGAATTTATGGGGAAAGGGAGGGATGTGAAGCATTAACAGGATTATTCAGAAGTCTGTTTAAGAGTTGATGAGGTGGCTGGACTAAAACAGTGACCGTTGAGATAGGGAGCATAGAGGTGAGGTAAGATTTAAATCTATTTACTTCGTAAAATGAATAAGGTTTAATTGCTGCCAGGATTTGTGAAGTAGAAGAGAGGAAGGAGTAGCTTTCTAAGTAGGATAGCTTGATGGATGCTGGTACCTTTCACTGACAGGAGAAGCCGAAAGCAAGGTGGAAGCCAGAAATACAAGTTAAGCATCCAACATAAATATCAAACTATTTTGCAGACATCTCCATAGAATTATCCCATAGGCATATCAAAATAAGGAAGTCTAAACCTCACAAAAGACTGTGGGAGGGAATATTCACCAAAAGGAAAAATAATTTTGATAGGTTATTACTAGAGGAAAGTAGAATATAAACTGGACAAGCAAAAAACCACAGCTGTCCTTTGCGTTTTCCTCTCAAAACCACTTTCCCCACTCTGGTTCAGTCCTGTATTTTCCATGGCCAAAAGTATATTTTTGGCATTTCCTATATTTCTCATTAGTCTCTGTCTAAGAGACAACCTTTACAACCTTTACATTGCCATGAGATTGACCTTCCTAAAGAACCACTTTGCCACATTACTACCTTATGTTAAAATCTTCACTAGCTTCCATTGTCTACTAAACGACCTACAAATTATTCAGGCCCCTTGGGATCTGTCTTCACCTTATTTTCTAGGCATGGCCAAATTTACCTACGCAAAGCCCTTAAAAGGCCATAACAGGCTGCTGATCCATCAAAGAGCCTTTAAGATTTTACCACCGCCATGCTTTAAATCATGTTGCCTTCCATTTTATCCATCTGCAATGCTCAACAACACTGGAGCCATCCTTCAGAGTCCAGTCCAGATGTAAATACGTCCTTGAATCCTACCCAAATAACTGTGAGAAGTGATCATGCTCTTCTCTGAGTTCCTATACAAATATATTGCAGAATTTGTTCAGTCTAGAACCATCATATAGATAGATAATGGCTACAGGGAGCATTAGACCAAACAACTAATTATTTGTAAGCTTTTGATTTATCTCAAAAACTCCACTGTTTACTGATGACAGTGTTGAATAGCCCTGTGCTTTGGAATGTCAGCAAAGTGTAGACATCCCCCCAGTTCCTTATGCTCTGGGATCTAATAGCAAATGACCACCTACCCTAGCATATTCCAAGATAACCATATGCACTCTTCCTCAGTCACACAAATGAGACTCAGCTCTATGCTTCCTCATGACTCACTTGTTTACTTGCTTCTATAAAACTTCAGGTTTTGCCCTCATCTTTGATACATTTCTCACTAATGAACATTATCCCCAGTGCAGTATCCTAAACAAAATCATCTCTTTAATTGTCTTATGCATTTTGTTTTTCACACTGGTTTGAGAGACAGAATATACAAATGGACGATAACTAAATCCTATACATAAATGTAACTCTACCTCACAACCTGCAGCAACCTGCCCCAGAAACCATCCATTATCTACAATAACCATCCCAGGAAATCAGCCTGTTAAAAGTTGGACTTGTAGAAATTCACACTGCTATCTCTAGCAAAAATTGAGGAAGCCAGCCAAAAGTCCCTGTAACAATCAGCCCAAAATGGCCAGGGCTTGGTTAATAACTAACATCTTCCCTAATTTTTGTCCCTGCTTTCAACTCAGGACCAATAAGAGAAACCAAAATATGCACCCCTAGTTAATCACATTGGATGCTTTTCATCAAATTGGCCTGCCTAAGCTTCCTCATGCCAATAGCCCCCAGTCGATGCATATCTGAAGTCTTCCCTTTTTTCCACTACAAAGCTTTCCCACTTTGCCTGCCTTTGAATCTCTGCCAAAACACAAGGGATGGCAGCTGACTCCCTCCCTATAGCAAGCTCTGAATAAATAGCCTTTATTTGTTCTCATTTGGTTTGTCTTTGCTTATTTTCATGGCTTGACAGAATTATACTAGTTAATTTCTAAATTTCTTTGCATGTGTAATAATTTCACAAAATGGTATCAAAATGATTTTACTACAACCTTCCATTAATGGTAAACCATTTGCTTTTGCTCTTTTGCATGTATGTGTATCATGTATCTTTATTTTAATGCATTACTCTTAAAGATGTAAAGTAAGTACATTAATATATGATGGAAAAATGGAACCAGTAGTTATTTTCTTTGATTCCTTATTTCAAATGTTTATCTCCATCTAGTTATTTATTTTCAATAAATGTTTGGGAGAAGTTTTTTTCTTAGTCGAAACAGTGCATTTTTCAGAGAAACTGACACTATATTGTAGCATTTATTTTCAGCAGATTGACATGATTTAATTAAACATAAACATTTGCTTAGATTATTTCTACCAAACCTCTAAATATTTTACATTCAACTATTTTCCATAAAGAAACAATTTAACCAATTGAGGACAATCACAAGGAAGTGCCTTGGATGAACAGTTCAAGACTTATTCTATTCTTTGCTCTACATAAATAGTATTTCAAACTTTGCAAAATAAATTCTTCTCATCTAGGGAAGAACATTCATTTTTATTGCTTCTTTTTTTTTTTTTTTTTTTTTTTTGCTCCTACTGTGACAGTTTTGCCTATTCTCCTTAAATGGAAGAGTAAGTAATAACAGGAATAATAACCCACATCATGCTAGCAGAAGCAGCATCTGTTAAAAATCCCTCTAGATTTTCTGCAGCTCTAGAATGAAAGAAATATATACATCAATTATCATGTACTCATTTCCATTTCCATCTTGCAGGTAATACAGGACTTTGCTTACCTCTATTAAAACTTCAAAATCTAACGAGTTGGTTAAGGATAAGAAAGACTATATGATCAATTATATTTACTTTTTATTTCAATCATTTTTCTATGTCTAAAAAATGACAACAAAAAGCCTTTGCCATTTGCACTTCTAGTCAATTTCCTTCCCAACAGGTTGCTGTTTTATGAAATTGACTTAACCCCAAGTTGTTGTGGGTGTTAAGGTTGCAAAGGCAATAGAGAAAAGACATTTTTTGACAATTGCTTGAAGTAAGCATGAAATTGGAAAAATTTTACTGCTATATAAGCATACGTCTTGGGGAAATGTCAGCCAAAGTTTCTCCAGAGAAAAACCAATAATGTGCATCTCTAGGTGGGTCCAAGAGTCCCCATTTACCACTTAAAGGGAGGCTGCTGTTCATGAATCTTAGCAGAGGAACTTGGCTCCTATCCAAACAAAATGTTCTGGGAAATCAAAGCCCTGATTATTATTATTATCATCATTTTAAACAACAGATTCATTAACCAGCAAAATGAACTAAATCAATTCAAATTTGTCATTTAGACCAAATCTGAGGTCATGTTTTGATATTTTGATGTACATAATTGTTGTTATGAGAGTCCTTTTAATCACCAAGCACATTGTGTCAAAGTATGCAGAAACATTTTAGAATCAGTGACTCTTCTCTATGTTTTTTTTGTTTTGTTTTGTTTTTTTGGTTGGTTGGTTGTTTTGGGCCCTGGGTTTATTTGTTCAAATAGCACAGAAGGACATCAACTCCATGCAGAGGGCAGCACAGTGGTCACTCCAATCCTTCTATCTTTACATTGGCAGACAAAAGCCTCGACTCAGGAACCTTCTGGGGGACTGGGAACCTTTGGGACCCTGAACTGGAACCGGAACTGGAGCTGGAGCTAGAGACATAGCCACAGCCACAGCCTGGGCCTTGGTTTGACTGAGCCTTGGCCTTGGCTTCTGGCAAGCAGAGCCTGAGACCTCTGGAGACGCAGGCACAAGGATGCCTTCCAAACTTGGGGTGGGCGATGTAAGCAAGTCAATCAAGCTCATGGCTGATGCCCTTTGGGATCGTGGGTTTGACCTCCCTGGGCTTTCGGGGAGGTTAGCATGTGTACTCATGGCCTTGGTGGTGTTGGTGGGCATCCGCTTCGGGCCCTTCTTGTCATGCTTTTTGGCAAAGCACCTGTTCCTGAGAAACATGGGATCCATTCTCTTACATCTGTATCTTTGTGACGGGCATTTCTTGATGTATTTCTATGTCATTTCCAGGACTGGCTGTACATCATATGGTTCTTGGACTTGGTCACAGCTGCACCTATACCCACAGCTTATATGTTTATAGACTAAGAATGACATATTTACATGAACACAGGCACAGGATATATTGCTTCTAATCTAGTATATGCTTTACCAAGCACTTGAAGAGAATGAACTTCTAAAATAATTAGAATGGTTATCATTTAATGGGTATAAAGTTTCAGTTTTGCAAGATGCGAAGAGTTCTGGAAATTGGGTGCACCACAATGTGAATGTACTTAACACTGGATTGTGCATTTAAAAATGAAGAAGGTTGTAAGTTTTCTGTTTTGTACATTTACCATACTTAAAAATAAGAAAATAACTAAAATAATTAGAATTTGGTATTAATATTTAATAACCACTAGCTTAATATAATTCCTGAACGCATCCCTCTATGTGAAAATGGTCAAAGTGAGCCCATCAAATCCCAGCTTGTCATTCATCCCAACTTTCATTAATCTTGAAAATCATATCTAAACCCCTACTCCCAAAATGCTACCAAATGCAGTACTGAAGTGACATATTCAGTTTGCTCAGCTATCAGGGCAACACTACTTTTCATCTAAATCAGCTAAGAATTTCTTTATTTAGGAATTTCTTACTGCTTTGTGCGAGGTAGCTGGGTTATTGACAAGAAAAAGAAAAAGTAGCCCCTAACGAAAGAGAGCAGAAAAGGGAAGCCTTGATGAATTCCAAAAAGCATGGCTTATGTCTAAGAGTTCCTTCTTTCCTTTCTGGTTCCTTTCTGGTTTACCCAGAGAAAGAAGCCTCATTTAAAAAGTTTATGTTTTCCTACAAAATTTAAAGCACTCTGGGAAACTAAGCTTTGTGTTTCTAACCCAGAGAAAATAGAAGGAAGAAAAATACAGAGGAAAATTAGGCTATAGTGCTGGCTTTCTTACTCTGGTTTTTCTTCAGATTATATTATTTCTATATTATGATCACATGTTTTATGAAGCCCATTTGCATCTATCATCTCAGTTAATCTCATTAAGCTTTACCAAAATCCTGAAAAGTAGATATTATTGTCATTAGCTCATAGATAAAGTAATTTATATTCAGAAGAGTTAGTTGTCTGATTTCAAACAGCTAAGAAGAGGTAGAACTGAGAACCTATCTCAGATCTTTTAATTCCAAACCTGCTTTATTTTCCACTCTGCCCAGAGTAACACAGACTGATTTAGTCTGTGGTTAACATTTCCCAGAAGGTACACAAGTGCCTGTTCTTCATTTTTTATCATTTATTTGCCATAAAGGGCAAATGTCTCTGCTGAGAAGAGTGATTATTATATCCAAACAGATAAAATAACAGGGGATTTGCTGAGTCCAAGTAACTGTCCATTTAACATACCATAAATAAAAGGTGATTTATCATAAGCATTCAGGGGATACTTTCCAGAGCTACAGTTACATGCTGTAGTTGGGTTTTGCTTTGACCTGGAACTAAAATCAGAACTAGAAGGAAGGTTGTGGGCCCCTATCCTGACTCTGTCCCATCTTTCTGATTCCCTTGACACTCGTAACTCCCAAAAGTGCCACCCAAAAATGCAACTTCAGTTCTAACATCAACTTACAAGTTCAGTGTCCTCAAATATAGGACCCATACTTGTCATGCTCAAATTCTTAATTTCTGGGAGAGAAAAAGCCAGAGAATCAGCTCATGTCAAGACTCTCCACCTCATTTGGTATACATTGACAATAATGATCAGATTAGGTGTTTTACTCTTTGGCAAATGAACAAAATGAATATACCTCCTGTGCTATGGACTAGTTAAGCACCTGTCTATCCATTTATTTTTATTTTCATTATCAGTATTATTTTTAATTTTTAATTTTTGTGGGTATATAGTAGGTGTATATATTTATGGAGTACATGAGATGTTTTGATACAGACATGCAATGTGAAATAAGCACATCCTGAAAAACAGGTTATCCATCTCCTCAAGCATTTATCCTTTGAGTTACCAACAATCCAATTATCAATTAGACTAATGTATGGTTTGCTCTTAAGAAATTAAAAACCCAATGTTTCGCTGATATACACCGTGCTAACAGGAACATCAGAAAACACAAATTAAAGTGAGAGTCTATTTAACGAAGTTGGCAAAAGCTGAAAAGTCTAAAAGTATCAAGCAGACAGGGATATAGGAAAAAAAGAATGCTCAAATTCTGGTGTATCCACATCAATGAGAAATTTAGCTGTATCTATAAAAGTAGACACTATGCTTCCCCATGACCCAAAAATATTCTAATTGTGGTCCTCTAGCAAAATTCTTGTTCATGTGCGGTACACATGGACTGGAGAAATATTTGCAAAATCTGTTTAAATGGTGCCTCTGGGAGAGAGAGAGATTTTGAATTTGAGAAGGAAACAAGGAAGACATCAAGTGTTACATCTTACATCATTTACACATAAAATAAGATAAAGTAATAAAATATGAACATTAACTGGGTTGAGAACATAAGACCGTAATGTATTCCCTGTGCATTTATTTTGTAAACTTTAAAATAAAAATAATGAAAAAATAAATAGAGAAACAGCATAGCCTTTTTCCTTTCTGAAAATAAAAAGTAAAAGTGTTCAGTCATACAGCATGCTAATCGTTTCCTAAGGAAAATGTTCCTCCCCACAAAGAGGCTCTGCTATTATTCTCATCACATGAGACTTCAATATGGGAAAGGAGAATCTGTACAAAATTCATTTTTCTCATGTGTGGGGGTAATGTGGGGGTTGGGTATGAGTGTGCGCATGTGTATTTGGAAGTAGGAAGTAGTTTATAAGGCTAGGTCAGGCTCCTGATGCAGAAGTGGCATTGGTGCCAGTAGGATTTATACTTTCTACAGTTGCATATAGCCTATCGTTGGGTAACAAGCCACAGCAACAGCAGTTTCCCTATCAGATAGTTCTGTGTTGTGATTTTAACATTAATTTTGGAAATTTAATCTCAAGCCTAGTGAGGTTTCACTTCTCTAAAAAATTCAGTGAGCTACTCAATATCTATTCAACCCTTTCTATGGTAAAACGTAATATAGGTTCAGAAAAAGGTAATTCAAATGGTAGCTTAGTGAATTATTATTGTAAGGATAACCTTTGTAACCACAACTCAGGGGAAGAAATAGAACTTGCCATCTACCCTAGAGCCAATCGCCACTCTTCCTTCTAATTAAAAGTCTAATCTGACTTTTAAAGAAATTATTTACTTGTTTTTCATTATAGCTTTATTACCAGAATAAATGTTTAAATAGTACAGTTACTTGTTTTAAAAACTTTGTCTCTCTCTCTCTCTCTCTCCCCCTACCCCAATCTCTCTTTTTTGTCCACTCCCTCTCTTGCCCCTCCCCCCCAATATCCCTATAATCTATATGTTAAAGAACTGGGTAATTTAACTTGTAGTTTCCACAGGATGTCTTTTTCTATTGTAGCTCTGTAGTGGAATTTCACGTTTCATTGTTTTCTGTATTTTCTGTAACTTGCAAATTACATATAAAGGATTGATCAGATTCTGATTTGATTTTTTAAAAATTATCTCATAGTTGGTGTTGTTTTCTTCAGTCAAGAGGTCCACAGAGCTGTCTTTCATTCTGTAGGTTTATCAGCAACTGATGCTTAAAACCTATTAGGCACTGCAAAAAAAGGTAATATTCTAATTTGATCATTGCTTCTTCAATTATTAGCTAGACTACACCTATGAAGAGACATTTTTTCTGCATCTCCTATGTAATTACCCAGTAGAACAACTCTTAATTTAGAACAACTTAGCTCTTTTCCTTATTTATTGGCTTTGAAATATTTATTTGGTTTTATGCCAACTTCTAAAGTTGACCAATTAATTTATTTATGAAGTCCACTTTGAACTCACACATTTAGACATACTTCATGTTTACCAAAACATTAGTTATTATCCTATTGACAAATTGTCACCTCTTTAGACACTGGGCCTCTTCAAATTGGCTCCTAAGTCCATTAGCCATGACCCTTTTAGTCTCTGATAGCTTCAGTGATATCTACAGTGACAAGATGTTTCTGGATTATCTTGAAAACGTCGACCCAGATCTCTGGAATCACATATTACTCCAAGATGCCTTTATTTGTTTAAGTTTATCTTAAGAGGAAAATTGTTTTTACTATGCTGCATTTGGACTTCAGGAATGTTCATTACTATTAGGCTAGGCATTATTTTGACATTTTCAAAGAGCAGGTCTGGAACACACACACACATACACACATACTTTCAAAGAGAAAATTCTTCACGATCTGAAAATAATACGACTTGCCATTCAATTTCAAAACGGCAGGGTATTGACAGAAGCTCATTTATTTTATATCTATATCTCATTTCTCTACCCTGAGAATGTGATTTTCAAGATCACTAGAGAAGATAAATAAAATGCCACATAATTATGTACTTGTGCCATCCCATGTGTTACCTTCACAACAACCCCAGAATTACAATACCAATATTAACATCACCAATCAAAATGATTATTCAAAGTAGTTAAAAAGATTTTTGCTTATGTTTTCCCACTTCTCTCTCAATTTTTGCATATTTACATTGTCAGAGCATATCAACATGACATACTATATTCTTTTCATATAGTCCTCATTTTGTATTAGTTGAATGAGTAAATATTTTATTAACAATCATCCCCAGTATTTATGTCAATCCGTCTTTGGTCATTTTCTCTGAAGTTCATGTTCCAGTAAATGGCACAGAAGGGATTTACAGGAACAATATTTTCTAAATTCTTGGATACAGATAAAAATGGGCTTTACAATGGGAAGTCAATTTGGCTTGACTTAGTTTTTGGCCCACATTTTCTGTCTATGAGTATCTTAACTTGATTATAATGCATTATAAATGTGTAATAAAATATCACATGTACCCCCTTAATCTGTACAGTTTTAAAAATATGTAAAAGAATTGAAAAAAGTGCAGTGCTCCAATTCTCTTGATATAAAGTGTTGCTATTTAAAAGCTGATAAAAATATGAGTTTCTTCTAAGTAACTGGGTGATTTTCATGAATGTTTAATAATTATTTGTACTTTTTCTTTAATGTCTGATAATGTTACTTTAATATACCTTGATATCGGTTTTTCTGAGTCAATTTTCTCAAATACAAATGTATTCTTTCAAACTGTAATTTTAAATACATATATTTTTAAATTTTAGGACAGTTGATGGGTTTTGTTTTGTTTTGTTTTAAAAGTGTATCATTTAGTGACTGTAGTGTTTCCTGCCTTTTTATTTGAGGAAAAGAGAAGTTGGAGGCACTACTATAGTACCTATTTTGAATTTTTTTGCTTACTGTTTTTCTCAAATACTTTTATCATTTTATTTCTTTTTTTGTTTCTTGAATCTTTCTCATTTTCAGTTTCTATTTCTCCTCTTGTGGTATCGGCCTGTTTGCTTAAAATTGTGGTTAGGCATTTGTGTCTTGTCAAGGGCCCTACAACTTTCACTAGTGTGTTCTCATGCCCTAAACAGTTCACAGTATGAACTAAATAAACATTTGGTCAATTAAATTATGAATATTAGGTGTAAGATTATATTTCTGTCTCCATACAACTTTAAAAAAGAAGAAATGGTCAATTAAATCAAAATGTTCAAGCCTAATATTTATCTTCTTATGGCCCATGGTGGGTAAGGGGCAAATATAGTGAGTTTAATGAAAAGTAACTACACAAAGAAACATTAACTTAAAAAACAAAACTTTGAGAAAAGTCAGAATAACTTGAATTCTTAACACATAAAGGTATGGGGTGGGGAGTTAGGTGACTAGTAAAGCTAGTTTAAAAAAAAAAAAAAAAGAAGAAGAAGAAAGGTGAAATTCAAATTGAAAGAATAATGCTTAACTTTCCTGGGAGGAAACATAAAAGGGAAAAGATGGCATGATCCTTTTTTTTTTTTTTTGCGATGAAAACTTTAAGTTAAATAATGCCTTTGTGTATATTCTCAGCTGCTGCACAAGCATTCATTCTATTTCGCCTTTTCCCTAGTAATATTTTAAAATTAAACTCAGAATTTTTTTCCTCTCCTCTTAAGAAATGTGTTTAGTTTCTCTCAAGACAGTTGAGCAAATGCTGGAAGATTGGAAGTACCCAGGTTGCAAAGCTGGCGGGCTATTCACCAGTAGAGATAATTTAGCACTTTACTCTATCACTGAGATTATGGTTAACTTTACAGTGTAAGAATTATTTGTTTGCTGTAGTAAATTTAAAAAGACAACATTTTCTGAATATTTGTAGTGGTAATCTCTTTAATTTAACATTGTCACTACATTAAGAAAATATCTGTCCAACTTAACCGATTTTGTTACTAAAGAAGAGAAGAGGAGGAAGAAAAAGGAAAAAGAGGTAACAGTCTATTTGAAATAAATTTCAAAACTCTAAACTGCTTCAAAAATTACATGTCTTAACTCTGGAATAATTATTGATCTCATTTATATTTGATCAAATTAATATAATACTAGAAATCACTAATTCCTCCAAATGCAGTATTGAAAGATAGTTTTCAGGAAACATTAAAATCATGGCTGTCATACAAATACAGAAATTAACATGCTTTAAAGATTTTACTGTACTTATTTGATATGAGCAAACCAAGCAAATGTTAATATTGCTTTAAAAAAGCACAAATTTAAATGAAATAAAGGAATGTTGTTTTGGCTTGCAAATGAGGACAAAAGTGCATTTTCCAGAAGGGAGAAAATCAACTAAAATCATTACCAAACAGGACACCATCTAAGTATCCATTAGTTATCCACAACTAATAAATAATTGCAAAGTACTTCAAAGACAATAATCAGAGTTAGAATCACATAATCTGGAAAAATATGCTACAGACAGAGCATAGTTTTCTATTGAAACACATATCCACAAATTCTACAGTAATTCCCTAGGGAGCATGATACAAAGAGGAGGCAGTAATTCTCAATCTTTGCATTTATATTAATGTCACTAATTTTTGAATATTTTCAAAGAACACCAAAAACAGGTTTCTGCTTGTTTTAAAGAAGATTTTAATTACTTCTTTCTCTGTAACATAAGCAAATGAAGACTAGGGGACAGACAGGCAATTTGATAGAAAATCAAAATGAGCAAATACCTAAGCAATAATAAATGAATAAAAACACATAGTTATAAGTATATTCTGCACTCAAAATATTTTACTTTGGGGAGGTAGGCTTAATGTAAAATAGTCTCTACTGACTACACAAAGATAATGATAAAAACTAAATCAAGTCAAGTATAATTTGGGGTCAGTGGTCCACTGCCAATCAGCCATCTGAAACTCCAAGGGAACCTGATATGAAGTAGAATTAGATTGGCTTAAGCTATATATTTATTTGCTTATTTATTTTGTTCTACTCCAAGGGCTCATACTTTACTCAATCCCTCCAAGGATTAAAGCTAAGGAAATGGGAATGAATGGAAACTGGAGAGATTTAAAAAAAGACCAAATGTATTTTGAAATCTCATTCTAGACAGGAAAGGATACATAGATCTTGCTGACAGATGATTTTGCCTTTTTTAGTGGCTAATTTAGACTAGCATAAAACTGATTTGAATATTTTCATGTCAGTGAGGCAGAAGGTTGAGGGGAATGCATAATACAATTGTGATCACACAGGTTCTGTAGTTGTCCAAGTGGGCTTTCAGGTCTCAAGTGGGGACAGAGTGATTTCACAGTACCTCTTATGCAAATCATGGATCATTTTAATCTATCATTTAAAAATATATGAAAATTTCTAGGCAAATTTAATATGTTTTACTTTACTATTATCAAATGGAGATATAACTTTCATAGAATTACATGAGAAATTATTTAACGTGTTCTTTTGCCTGAAAATATTATTATTAAACTACCCAAGAAATAGATGAGGGTACTTGGAAGTGGAATGATGAATACTTGTCACAAATGGCTCTGTTCCTAACTACGATGTCCAAGGTGGACACTGCTAATTGAACTCAGAGCACTTCATAGCTCAGCTGAGATGTAGCCTCAGAATATTACTTAATGCAAGACTCCAGGCAGCTTCTACCAATCCTTTGGAGTTAACAAGAAAGTTTAAACCTATTTGCCACCACTGTTTTAGATGATCAATTATTGATTCTATACCACAGAGACCAGAAGGTAAAATAACCAGTAAATCAAAACCTGACTGGGAAAGAATATAAGTTCTATTTTCTGTTTTCACAAACAGCTTTTTATTGGCTTCACATAATCCTTGGTATAGGGTCCATTTCGTTGTTTTAACAATTATTCCTGACCCCATGAAAGCTCCTGCAAAGGTCTTTAGGTATCCTAGGAAATATGAAATAACAAGAACTCAATGGATGTGAGTGGCTAAATTGGACAACTCCTACTCTGTCAACTCCTATATTTAGATTCTCACAATGGGAGACCACCTCTTTTAAAGGCACTCAATTTCAAATTTAGCAATTTCCCTCCATATGTGTCTTCCTTTCAAACTGCAGCCGGGGCCAGGCGCGGTGGCTCACTCCTGTAATCCCAGCACTTTGGGAGGCTGAGGCGGGCGGATCACAAAGTCAAGAGATGGAGACCATCCTGGCCAACATGGTGAAACCCTGTCTCTACTAAAAACACAAAAATTAGCTGGGCATGGTGGCGCGCACCTGTAGTCCTAGCTACTCAGGAGGCTGAGGCAGGAGAATCACTTGAACCCAGGAGGCGGAGGTTGCAGTGAGCCAAGATCGCACCACAGCACTCCAGCCTGGAGACAGAGAGAGACTCCATCACACACACACACACACACACACATACACAAACTGCAGTCAGACTCTGATGGTAGCAGATATGGCTACACTAAGCCTTCATGATCACTCTGCTGATAAATTCTCTCTTTAGCTCGGTGAATCACTGCACACCAGCTTATTTCCTTCATTGGGAAAAACAGATACCCATCTTAATTTATTTGGTACTCATATTTGTTTCACTCCTTTTTGATTTTATAGTATAGCAACTGAACTTTTAATAATGCTTCATCCTCATTTTTCATGTCCAAACATCAACATTCCTATATATTACACATGATTATGAGCTCTTTCACTTGTGATAACTTTTTTTTTTTAACATTCCCCAACAACTCCATGTAGGTATCAACCTTTGGATCAGTCATAACAAGAGGCTAGAGATCCAGGTATCTTTCAAGATAGATGGCATTAGCGATTTAAAGTATATACTTTGTTGGGCAATACTCATGTTCCTAGCCTCCTCTCTATAAAATAATTGTGTCATTTGATATTTTCCTAGAGATTTCCTCTCAAATCCCATTGTTACACTAGCAGTCTTTGGAAACTTAGCATATTCCTTTTTTACTCTGTTTTTCTTCTCTTCATTTCTGCTCCTTCTTCAATCATTTATAAGAATGTGGAATGTGCTAGACACTGCTATACAAAGGAGATGAAAAAGTACAAACTTCCAGGGCCACTTGTCCAGTGGAGAAAACAGCTATCCACAAAATAATTAAAATCTGAGGCACCATATTAAGTGTTGTTATAGCAGAACTTTAAAAACGCTTGTGGGGGCCAAGAAAAGAGAGTGCTTAAAACTTCTTGGATATGTCAAGGAAAACCTTGGTGTCTTACTTGTATTAATAACATCTCTAAAACATCATTAGAGGTTGGAGGGCATTTTGTGTATCTTCCTTCTTAACTTACCTCTAGCTCTCTTTTCCTTCCTCCCTGTATTAGCCATGTCTTTTATTTTCTTTACTATAGTGCTAGGACATCTGAGGCCTTCTGCCCTTAGAAGGACTGCCGATCCCAAGGAGAGCCAATTCCTAGAGATAGTAAATAATTCACCCACTAGCTTTCTTTTCAAATACAGACCCATCAGTCCAGAACCCACACCCCAACATTGTTTTATCAGGCTCTCAACTCTTGGGCAGGTGGATGCTGACCCAATCACCCCAGGAACAGGGAGCAGACGACCAGGGAAAACTCCTATGCCCTAGAGGTCACTGAAATGATTCAAGCTAGCCAACCACAGCCTGCTTACCCTGCTTCACCCATTCCTTCCCACAGAAACCACCACAAAGGCTCTTACCTATGGTTTCTTCCTCTTCCTCCACCTCCTAACCAACCCCAGGGCTTCCCCAGGTGGCCTGGCATGCACATGCCCCACCTCTTGGGAACTGCGAGCAACAAATTATTTTTGATGGCAGTCATTTCCTGCTCTGTTGGCCTTAGTACACCTCCAATCGTCTATGAATACACTATATTTTAAAATGGTCCCTCTGTCCCATTCTTCCTCTATTTCATCCTTCTTGTCCTTCCCATTTCACTCTGTCAGTATATACCCTGTGAATTTTTTTTTTTTTTTTTGAGATGGAGTTTCACTCTTGTCACCCAGGCTGAAGTGCAATGGCGGGATCTCAGTTCTCTGCAACCTCCACCTCCTGGGTTCAAGCAATTCTCCTGCCTCAGCCTCCTGAGTAGCTGGGATTACAGGTGTGCACCACCACACCTGGCTAATTTTTTAATTTTTAGTAGAGATGGGGTTTTGCTATGTTGGCCAGGCTGGTATTGAACTCCTCACCTCAGGTGATCCACCCACCTCAGCCTCCCAAAGTGCTGGGATTATAGCCATGATCCATCACACCTGGCTATACTCTGTGATTTAAAAAAACTATCTGTTATTTAAAAATTGGTTCTCCCTTCACATAAAAACACATAGTCCTTGTCAACTACTTCCCTTATGAGAATACAGGGCATACTCCATTCTTTCTACTACTTGGTAGAACAACGAAGAAAAAATTATGTCTTTTGCTAAAAACAAGTGAAAAATAACTTTATATATAGTGATAGAGTGAATGATTTTTAAACTTACTTTGTTCAATTTTTAAAAAGAAATTCTATTTGATTGAGCATCTCTTGTTTGAAAGCTGAAAACCATAAATAAATCAAATATCTCAGCTTATGAATAAAAATGAGCCAATACATGAATACATGGACACATACACATTAGAGGTGAGTCACAGGTAGGTATTTGAATGAGGTAAATATGTTCAACCCCTTTAAATTAAGCAGATATAAAGATAAACTTCTGCCTTCCTCACTGTAAAATTCTTTGTTTGGAGAATCACTATTACAGAAAGAAAAGATTGAGAACATTTATTTAGCTTCCATTCTAGGACATTAGCTACACAGATCAAGTGTTTTATGCACAGATAGTTGTAAATTGAAATGAAAAACAAAGCCAAAGGACTAAAACAACAGGCAGGAAAAGAGTCTGCCTACTGAATTATACACAAGGATCCCCTCCAGATGTCCCAGGCTGCTGGTATTAAAAAATAAATACAGCCTAGCAAATGTGGAAAGAACCTATTAAGTTAAAAGAGTGTCTCACTACCCATCAGTATCAAAAGTTCAAGAGCCCTCAGCCTCCTTTAACAGTTCCTTAAAAAGAGCAATGATGCTGGAAAGCTTGATTCTGGCACAGGATTCCATGGAGGTTCAGAAGCAACCAAGGCAGAAATGCCCTCCAGGTGCCAAAACTCATTAAGATGTCTTATATTCATGTGAAGTCAACAGTGAAGCACCATTCTTCTCATGTGAATTGAAAAGAATGTGAATCACCAACCATCATTAAAATAAAAGAAGCCAGAAATCAGTTATCATGACCCAACGCCATTTACAACCTGAAAAACACACCTAACCAGGTCTCATCCTGCAAAGCACATTAGGCAAAAGGAATTCATGATTGTCAAGTGTCGGTTCCCTACTTCATCACCAGTCAAGTTGAGCCCTAGCCTAGACCTACAACTACAAACTAGTTTGATGACATTCAGCCGCTCAAAAAAACATCATGGAAAAGAAGAAAGAGGGTGAACTTGTAGGCCATTTAGCCTTCCTCTTTACTAGCGAGGAGATTTGGACAAATCACTTCATCTCTGTGCCTCAGTTATTCACATGCAACATAGAAATAAAAATTATTTCACTGCCTTCTACTCTGTATATTAAAGAATATTGTAAACTGGTAAGTCTATACGATTTACAACTTTCTCCTTAGTATTTAAAATTTCTGAAAATTAAGTCAGATTATTTGGACTTGGAGGAGGTGTACATTATACCAAATAACTTTCAATATCGTTCATAAAACAATGCCTGATTTTTTACCACCCTGTACCATCTCTCAAAGAGTATTTCTCTCTTTTTTATTTTCTTTAAGAGATAGGACCTTGCTATATTACTCAGGCTGAAATGCAGTGGCTACTCACAGGAGCAATCATAGTGCACTGCAGCCTTGAACTCCTGGCCTCAAGTGGTCTTGCCTCAGACTCCCAAAAGGATGAGGCTACAGGCATACACTGCCACTGTGCCTGGATTCAACAAGTATTTCTTATCTACTGTGGATTTAAAAATAAATAAA
This sequence comes from Homo sapiens, assembly GCF_000001405.40. NCBI lineage: Eukaryota > Metazoa > Chordata > Mammalia > Primates > Hominidae > Homo > Homo sapiens. The sequence continues at coordinate 53,618,120 of NC_000018.10, forward strand.
ATCTTTATAAAATTTTATTAAACTTCAAAGCTAATGATAGCGATGAAAATAATATGGAAATAGTGCAATAAGGTTGATTTTAGTATCATGAAAACAGGAGGAAAAAAGACAATGCAAGATAGCATCCATTTTATAGCATCCACTTATTCTCTATAACACATGCATATAATACATGTGATTTTATATTTTTTCAAGTGCTTTGTGCATATTAACCTTTGTTCCCCAATTAATATTAGCTCCTTAGTAAATGAGAATGGACTTCACCCCATACTAGATAAATATTTCCTGAAATATCCACTGATGATCTGGTTCTCATCCTAGGGTATCACAGAAGTGCACACTCACCTACTATAGCCCCTTTACTAATACCTAGGAGACTTTTTCCTTACTATTCTCTTTCAGTGCTCACAGGATGTCCATATCTGACATCCTTCAGCCAGCCACCTTGGATGAAACACCACAGCTAAGACTGATTAAAGTCAGACACCTGATGTGAAGAGACTACTATGGACATGTTCTCTTTAACCAGGTCTCACATCAGGATGGCTAAAACTAACTCTACCAAACTGTAGGTCTTGAATTATTGTGATCCTCTGGGACTACAAGAGAGCATAAACTTTATTCTTAATAAAGTAAAATTTTAAACTGACTTTTCTCATTTCTCAAGTGTCCCCATTTGACAAATGAATAGGCAAATGTTTTATCCAATATACATTTTACTACCACATATCTCAACTGGTCGTTAGGTCCCTTAAGTCATTCTCTCTAACTTTTCATTGTGAAGCTCAGACATTTGGAAAAGTTAAAAGAAAAGTACAGTGATCACCAGTGTACCTATCACTTAGACTCAACTTTTGTTTATATTTTGCCATGTTATCATGTATATATCATATATCACGTATTTTTAAATGAATCATTTGAACGTAAATTTTAAATATTGTGATAATTTATTCTTAAGTATGTGAGCATGCGTCTCCTTAAAAAAATTTTTTTAACCTGTAATTTCATTATCATCTAAGAAAACTAGTATTTTTTTCTAATTTCATTTAATATCCATTCTACATAAAAATTTCCTCAATTAAACCTCATGTTTCTTTTACATTTTCAAATGTTTCCTGGAATTAGATATGCTAGGCTTACCTGCTCCTTACTGACAATCACCGATTTCTCCTATGAGCCCTGGTTTCTTGGAGAACCAGATTTTTTTTTTTTTTTTTTTTTTGAGACAGAGTCTTCCTCTGTCACCCAGGCTGGAGTGCAGTGGTGCGATCTCGGCTCACTGCAAGCTCCGCCTCTCGGGTTCACACCATTCTCTTGCTTCAGCCTCCTGAGTAGCTGGGACTACAGAAGCCCGCCACCACGCCCGGCTTATTTTTATTTTTTTTATTTTTTTATTTTTAGTAGAGATGGGGTTTCACCACGTTAGCCAGGATGGTCTCGATCTCCTGACCTCGTGATCCACCCGCCTCGGCCTCTCAAAGTGCTGGGATTACAGGCGTGAGCCACCGCGCCCGACCGGAGAATCAGATTTCTTGGTGGGGACACTAGGTATGGTCGTTGCTGCTGGGGAGTCATTACATCTTGGGCCATTCCAATGTGCACAAATTCATTTGGAAATTTTGAATCTCTTTTCTTCCAAACATTTTGTTCCCAAAATTTTGTTTTCTAATAACGTTATCATGTTTAGTTTTCTATCCTATAATATTCAAAAAACAGTTTTAAAATCACTAAACTAATATAATAACAATGAAATTACTGGCTGTTTAAGATTTCTTTGTAGCTCTTTTTTTTCCCCCTTAGAATATATCCCACTAAGAAAGTGCAATCAGAGCTGAAGGTAACTTGAATTTTTTTTTTCTCTGTCTGATTGTTATAAAATTTACATACAGTTTTGTTGCTTTAGTTTATTTTCATTTATCTGGTTTGTTTCCTTCTTTCTCAGTCCATTTAACTTTCGAATATATAAACCATTCCTTGTTTTTCTTCTCCCTATTTATCTATTTGCATTGTACTGAAAGTGGCTTTTTGTTCCTTAAAAATATATTCTAGAGATAATTCAAAAATAGTTCATAGGACTCATTATTTTTTATGACTTTAAGAACCTTGCTTTGTGAATAATTCATAATTTATTCAACCCATCTCCTACTGATTAACATTGGATTTGTTTCCAGTCTGTTGCTATAAAGAATGCATGTGATATATGTTAATGCACATTTGTGGTGGTGTATCTTCAAGCCTCCAGACTTTAAGCAAAATGAAAAGACAAATGAAAAACCCGGGGATAATAATTGCAGCATAAAATTATAGTTATAGTGCTGGCCTCTAATATATAAAGTGGGGTTCTTAAAAGTTGAAAAACAAAAGCACCTGCCTCCAAAAGAGAACTAATAGAATGTGCAGCAAAAAAAAAAAAAAAAAAAAAAAAAAAAAAAAAAAAAAGAGTAAGTTTATTTCATGGGGGGGAAAAGACAAAAGCCCTTAAACATACTAAAAGATCTTTAGCCTCACAATTTAAATAAACTGCAGATTTCAAAACATACCTTTGACAATATAGGAAAACTGTGCAAAAAGACTCCTATGCATTGGTAGTAAGAGTGCAAAAGTATACAACTCCTGGACAGGGAAATTTCGGAAATGACTAACAAAATTGTATTGGCATTTAACTTTGGCCCAGTAATTATACTAATAAATATTTTTATATTAACTATATTAAATGTTATAATATTTAAACTCCTTTTCATGTCTGAAATGAACCCAATTTAGTCAATATTTTTAATATACTATTGTAGCCTATTTGCTAATATTTTCTTTAGAATTTTGCATAGATAATCTTAATTCTGTTATTTCTTTTTTTCATGCAACTTATATCTGGCCATGGTAGTGATGTTATGTTTGTTTCATTAAAAACTGAGTTTTTCTTCTTTTATGTGCTACGGAATAGCATCAGAGGCATTGGGGTTACTTGTTATTTGAAAGTTTGGAAAAAATTCTGTATTAAATCATCTAGACCTGGTCTCTTTCTCTTTTTTTTTTAATTTTTTTTAATTAAAAAAATTTGTGGGTACATAGTGACTATATATGTTTATGGAGTACATGAGATATTTTGAAACAGGCATGCAATGTGAAATTGTGTTAAGTGAAATAAATCAGGCTCAGAATGTTCTCACTGATGTGTTGGATCTAAACATCAAAACAATTGAACTTACGGACATAGAGAGCAGAAGAATGGTTACCACAGGCTGGGAAGGTTTATGTGGGGATGGGGTAGGTGAGGATGGTTAATGGGTACGAAAAAATAGTTAAAAAGAATGAATAAGACCTACTATTTGATAGCACAATAGGGTAACTATAGTCAATAATAACTTAATTGTACATTTTAAAATAACTTAAGAGTGTAATTGGATTGCTTGTAACTCAGAGGATAAATGCTTGGGGGGATGGATACCCCATTCCCAATAATGTGCTTATTTTTCTTTACCTTTGAATAGTTTGGTAGAGGTAACTTTCTCCATTTGTTCTTTGAAATCTTGTATGTTAAACTCTACTGGAGTCAGTTTTGATAAATTGCCTGGAAATGTATCTATCTCATCCATATTTTCTAATTTATTTGCTATACAAATTTGAGGTTTTCTCTACTTGTAATTTAAATACAAAGTAGTCTCATTATTTACTTATATTTTGGGCATTTAACATTCTCCCTTTTCTCTTGGTTATATAAACTAATAGGTTTGTCCATGATATGGTTTGGCTGTGTCCTCACCCAAATCTCATCTTGAATTATACTCCCATAATCCCCACATGTTTTGGTAGGGACCTGGTGGGAGATAATTTGAATCATGAGGGAGGTTCCCATTCTATTCTCATGATAGTGAATAAGTCTCATGAGATCTTATGGGTTTATCCGGGGTTTCTGCTTTTGCTTCTTTCTCATTTTCTCTTGACACAGCCATATAAGAAGTGTCTTTCGTCTCCCACCATGATTCTGAGGCCTCTCCAGCCTTGTGGAACTATAAGTCCAATTAAACTTTTTTCTTCCCAGCCTCTGGTATGTCTTTATCAGCAGCATGAAAATGGACTAATACAGTCTATTTTCTTCAAAGAACCAAATTTTTGATTTATTAAATATTGTTACTATTTCCTAACTCAATATGTTTTTATCCTGATTTTTTTATTTTCTTAATCTTCCTTTACATTCACCTTGTTTCTAGATTATTTTTGAGCTGTATATTCTTTTATTCTAATATTTCATTTATTTCTAAGTTCATAATTTCATAAACCTGCTAGTGATTGCTTATAATTACATACCACATATTCTCACGTATACATATTTATTTCATTGTATCATATAATGTTATTATTTCTAGTTTTGTGGAGGTTATGGAAGTTGCCAAATTTTATGAATTTCTATGTGCACTCAGATGGAACTATTAATGTACTGAGATTTGATACTCTCCTACAGCTACAAGATCTAACTTATTGATTACAGTTTTTTGGTTTTCTGATGGGAGAGTCATTTAATCTGTCTTGAACTATAATTTATGTATTAAAATCTTTCATTAATTATGTGTTTTACTTTGAAAATCCATTACTAAGATCGTAGCTGTGGTATTCGGTGCATAAATATTTATAGCTGTTAAGTCTTCACTTTAAGTTATGGGCCTTATAATATTTACTATTACATTTAATGCTATCTTCCCTAACCGAATTCTGTTTGTCCTTTATCAAGATCCAAACCTCTGTCTTATTTTTGTCTATAATTGCTTAGTATACCTCTTCCTGGTCCTTATTTTTAATCATTCTCAGTCAATGTATTTAAAGTGTGCCTCACATAAAGGGCATAGAATTAAGTGTTGATTGATGAGTCATCTAAAAACCTTAGTATTTAATTGAGCTAAGCCTATTTGCATTTATTGATAGAATTCATATATTTGGCTTCAACTCTATTATATTACTTTGAGTATTTTAATGTAGTATGTTATATTTGCCATGTCTTTCATTACTCAGTTCTTTGGTTTTTAAAAGTTGTTTTGATATACTAAAAATGTTTACATTTTTGTTTAAATAACTTTTGCCAATCAGTTTATATAACGTCCCTACTTTTTTAAAAAAACCACCAAGTCTTATTCCATTTGTTAGCATTAAATAGTATCCATGAATTCTCCTGTACTACCTATGCAGCAATCAACTAGTTTCTTATACTTTTCCCTTTCTCCCTCCTTCCTTCTCTCACTTTTCAGTTGCATTATTTACTTTCTGGAAGAGTATATAACATTTCCTTTAGCCTTTGAACAACTTTTGTTTCAGGATTAGAATTACAGTACAACATACTCAACACCTCACATTTGTCAATTTCCCCAATATTTATTTGGTTGAATCAGCCTTATTCTGCCATTGACTTTTTGGAAAGGGTTTGTGATTATAATATTCTTGACAATTTTAAATTTATTTTTCTATAGCCTTGATGCTATAAGATTTGTTTGCCTAGATATAGAATTCTTGGCTTGTGTTTTCTTTCCTGGATTTAAAATATTAAGATATTTACTTTGTTTCTCTTGAGAAGTCATATGCCAAATTGGTTATTACCTGTTTTTAGTTTTTATTTGTTTTTCACTTAGATGTCCAGAAAAAAAGTTTTTTCACTTTATTTTTAAAGTTTTCTTAAATTTACTTTATTTAGTTTTTACTTTTGATTTTACTAGAATATATTTCAGAGCTGACCAGCAACTTCTACTTATATGTATATTCAGTCATATTTCTTTTAATTGTATTAAGAAACTCTCTCAATATACTTTTAAACTTTAGTTCCATGTCATTGCTCTGTTTCACTTCTCAATAACTCCAATAATACATATATTGAAACTTCTTTGCCTGTGTTCTAGATTGATCACTTTAAATTTAATCCCTATTATAATTTGTTATTTTTAGATTCTTGTCATTGGTATTTTATGTACCCCTTACTTCATTACTATTTTCCATGCTACTTATTGTAATAATTTGATTATAGCTATTCTAACCCTGATCATTCAATTAATAAATAATGTAATGTATTCTTTCTATTATAATCTTTTTCTTCATTTTTTCTTGAGTTTTGTCATCTCCCTGTTTACATCTTCCTGGCTTTTTTTTTTTTCATTTCCATTATGATTTGTCTAACTATATTTAATTTATATTGTTGAGTGTAGCTTTTTTCCTTTTTCACAATTTTTTTTGGTTGTGGTTGTTACTAGCATTTATGCCTGCTGAAAATTTTGAGTTTCACCTTGTTTTCTTCTTATATAAATTCCATACAGATATTGAATTCTCTTTATTTAAATTCATAGTTAGTTTTGGCCAGGTGCGGTGGCTCACGCTTGTAATCCCAGCACTTTGGGAGGCAGAGGCGGGCGGATCACGAGGTCAGGAGATCGAGACCATCCTGGCTAACACCGTGAAACCCTGTCTCTACTAAAAATATAAAAAATTAGCCAGGCATGGGGGCAGGCGCCTGTAGTCCCAGCTGCCTGGGAGGCTGAGGCAGGAGAATGGCATGAACCTGGGAGGCAGAGCTTGCAGTGAGCCGAGATAGAGCCACCTGCACTCCAGCCTGGGCGACAGAACGAGACCCCGCCTCAAAAAAAAAAAAAAAAAAAAAAAAAATCATAGTTTTTATTGGAATTGTAGCCATTCTAAACGGAGAGGTCCGAGTGCCTTATTTAGTTTCTCAGTTTAATAGCACCCTCTTTTGTTGTTGTGCTAAGGCACAATTTCTTTAACAAATGGCATCTCTTTCATTAATTTATTTCCATCTGCCTTCTTCTGATTCTTACTCTCTTATTTTATTGCGGATTCTACCTTCCATTTCTTCTTTTCCATTACCACCATCTTTATTCAAGAGGTACCTCCTTTTTCCAAGATGCCTCCATTTTCCCCATAAGTATTGTTCTTAAGAAATGTTCAGTCTGTTCAACGATTTGAGCCCCTTTCTATTGACTCTCCAGGAGTCAGTACACTGTCTGACAGGTCTCAGAATTTTTCTGAACATTTTCTGACTCAGGGGAGGGCGCTTTCCTCCTGTGAGTAAACTCTGATTGATGTTATCTGTGTTCTTTTACCAGTAGAACCTCACAGCACTCTCTTCAATGCTTTTTGTTTGTTTGTTTGTTTGTTGTTTTTTTTTTACTATATGGGCTGTAGAGATGACTTTGCTGATTTAGGACATTTATTTCCCTTCTTAAGCCTGAATTTTTCAGTGTTCTCTGTCTACTAGCTACCTTGTAGTCGTAGCTACGGTTTAATTAAAATTTTGTGGAGAGACTATTATTCAGTCTTTTGTTATTATACTACTGGTTCTATTACTCTCAAATCTCTTTTAATCTAGCTCAAACTTGTCCTTTAAAAAATCGCCATTAATGTGTTGAAGAAATCAGAGAAGCTGTCCTGAAGATGCAAATAATACTTAGGATTGGTCTGATCATCTGTATTGTTTTGTTTGGCTTCTTCTTGAATCATAGCAGGAAATTTCTTAGAATGCTTTGATAGCGGTGGGAGGCAGACAAAAGCGTAGGCTGATAGGGGCAGGTTCCTGGTGAAACCCCAACTTCAAGTCAAAGTGAGCCTGTACTGCTGGTTCTGGATGACACCTGCCACCCACAGTGAAAAGTACTGTTCCTCTTTGCCCACCCTGTTTTGATTGGTTCTTTCTGAATAATCTTTTTAACCAATCGAATGTTACCTTTTCCAATACTACTTACAGCCTGTCCTTCCCCCATCCGGTGCCTATAAAAAAAAATACCCCAGACTCAGCCACACTGAGAGTGACGACCCGACCCGACCTTCACCTCCCTTCTCTGCTGAGAGCTGTTTCAACGTTCAGTAAAACTCTCTATTCTCATCACCCTTCAATTTGTCAGCGTGACCTCATTCTTTTTGGATGCAGGACAAAAGCTTGGGACCCACCAACTGCGGTACCCAGAAAGGCTGTAACATTGGCCCTCTGCCTTTGATCATGGAGGGCAGCCGCCTCACACAAGGGAAACAGCGGCAGGGCCCAGCCAGTCCCAGAGCCACAGCCAGAGTGGGGCAAGGCGCTGACTAAGCTGTCGTCAACACGCCACTGTCCGTGGGGCTGGGGGGACTAAAAGAGCTAATTAGCACACTCTAAAACCCTCTATGGGGCTTTGGGGTCACGGGCACCCCTGCCTGGGTGCTGCCACGTTCCCCTCGGGGCAACATGCCTTGTCTGGCCGTAGTCTATGCCCAGAGACTACTCCTGCGTCAGCGCTGGAAGCAGCCAGCCCGACCCCGTGCTTGCTCGCTGGCTCCCTTGACCCCGTGCTTGCTCGCTGGCTCCCTTGACCCCGTGCTTGCTCGCTGGCTCCCTCCCACCAGGGGCTGAGCCTGCAGTCGCTGAAGCCATGGGCCAGAGCACAGACCAGCCGCCGCTGGGTAGACGCTCTGCTACAAGCCCAGCAAAGAAGCCTAGAAAAATCCTGCTTCACCTTCAACTCACTAAGTCACTAGCATCACATATTCTGCCTCCTTCCCTTCTATCAGCACACAACAACGACAAAACTTTTTTTTTTTTTTTTTTTTTTTTTTTTGAGACGGAGTCTCGCTCTGTTGCCCAGGCTTGAGTGCAGTGGTGCGATCTCGGCTCACCGCGACTTCCGCCTCCTGGGTTTAAGCAATTCTCCTGCCTCAGTCTCCTGAGTAGCTTGGATTACAGGCGCCCGCCTGGCTAATTTTTGTATTTTTAGTAGAGACGGTAAATGTACAGCAGCCTAAACAGTGTTGGGGTTTGGCCCTATACACAGCTAGATTTCAGGATCTCAACTTTAATATCAAAGGGTTATTTTTTCAGAGGAGTCAATTCTCTTTTAATATAATTTTTGTAACAGCTTCATAATAATTGCTAAAAGTTATTGTTATATTTTGTTGTTGGTGGTGATATTGATGGTAATTATTACTGACAATTCTATCTAAATGCTTTGCAGATATTACTAACACCCCTATCAGATGGGTTATATTACATCGTTTAACAAAACAAACTGAAGTACAGAAAAACTAAGTAATTGCTTCAAGGTTATACAGGTAGTTAAATGGAAAAAACGGGGCAGGATTTAATCTTAGGCAGTGTGGTTTCATAGCTCTTTGTATTTTAACCACTGGGCTATCCTGACCCTTTATAACATTCACTTTTGTTACACAAGGATTACGAATTCCTATTTAGAATATACATGTGTAATGAGAATGGAAGAGTATAAAATTCCTTCAAACACCTGCTGGGTCCCCCCTCAGGGAAACTTACAAAATTTAACAGAAAATTAAAAACCTTTTCAAGTATGCTCTGCTGAGGCTAGTCTTGTTTCATTATTGAACCTCAAACATGCCAGCTTCATGCCACTTTTTTCTTGATCAGAAAGTTCTCCTTTCTTTATTTTGCTTACTTACAAACTCTCTATGTTTTGAGATTTGCTCAAGACCCATGACCCTGGTGCCTTCGTTACTTCTCTTTCTCTGAAATACCTGCTCTTTCTTGGAATTTGTTCCATGTCTTCTAGAATTTAATAACATACTCTACTGTCTTTTTAAAATCTTTTTTATGTGTACGTTTATGTCTGCTGCTGTTTCATGTGTGTATGTCTATTCTCTGCATCTGGAAAATAAATTCTGGGAGGTCAGGACACTTTGGACTTCTTCACAGTCTCTAAAGCAGAGGTGAAATTCCATGAACTTGTGGGCATTTGTTAAATTATATTTATTTGATTATTTTTTCCAGTTTGAATAGAATCTGCAAAAGCTTGGAAATCTGGTGCTCAGCCAGCCTCTACCGATGTCCTAGCATTAGACCAAGCTCATCTCTCGGCAGTTTAGGATGTATGAGGCTGAAAGATATCAATGACTCTGAAAACTTAAAAGTCTGAGATTTTTCTGCAAAATCTTTCCTGATGACACTAGAACACTTTTCTTATGATACCTCTGAAGAGAGCTTCTTATCAACTTCTGGGCCTCACTTTAGGTATCGTTTTAGAACTAATTCACAATGCCATTCTTTTGAAGACACTGGTTTTGGATCCTGAAAATGGTTTCTGAGCTCCTTCTGGATCTCAGCTCTTGAGAACTGAGACTCTTGTTCTTCAGACCTCTCATCCAGGATCCCTGACTATAAAAGATAACTTTATGCAGGAGTTTTTGTTGCGGTTGCACTTATTGTTTGCAATATAAGCAGGTAGAGAGGCAGTGTGTTGTTTTTTAAATCAGGAGAAAATAAATCATGCTTAGATTGTATAGTGTTATTGACTAACATTAAGTTGTAGGAGCCATCTGTCACCATATGGCCATGTGAGAGAAAGAAAAAAGTGCACACTGCGGGAAGGGAGGTGTAACAGAACTCAGACCTCAGCGCAGCTAGGTATCAAGTCCAGTTTGTAGGTTTACGGACTTCAGTGTACCAAGTTTATTAAGTCTGTGTCCCAGTTACAACTCTGAGCTGATATTATTCTTAAATAAAATGAAACACTGCAAGCCAGAAGCAAGACAGAAGATTCGCCAGCTGTGAGCATACTGTTTACAGATTGAAAGTGGGACCAAAACCATTATATGGTATAATTTATGAAAGAACTGAAGAAAATATGTTTTGACAGAGGTCTTAAAAAAAAACAATGGGCTAACATTCCAGACAGGATCTCTCTCTTGAGTAGAATGCAAACATTCTGCAATGTTTCCTCCCCTCTCCCAACCATCTCAAAGTTTAGATTTGATGAGAGTGGATAATGTTTTTCTTTACTACAAAGAAACAGGGACTAAAACAAGTAGGGCTTCAAACTACACATACGTAATTGCTTCAGTCTTTCTGGGAAACACAGCCTCATTTTACATGGTAACATGGAGAGTGGTTAGAATTAAAACCTTGATATTTTATTGCCCCATCTGTGAATTATTTGCAAGGTTGGATAAATGTAATATATTTAAGCAGCTCAACTCTGTACATCATCAAGGGCTTTTTAAAAAGAAGATGTAAGTTATCTTTGCAGTAATCTTGAACTTAGGGGAGGGTCTATATTTTAAAACTTTAAATAGACCCTGGAGCAATTGTATGAATCACTCTGAGGGTTTTCATCAATTATTTGGGTAATTCATGTATTGGTAGACATGTATTTGATATATTAAAACTGGTCCTTGGAGTGAGGATGTATTGATTTAGAAAACTGAAAACAATTTTATTTATTGCTTACTATGACATTGATACTACGTGAAGTACTAGGAATAAAAAGATTTATTAGATGTTGCCTTTCTTCAGGTAGCTCAGAGTCTATTGGGTTATTTTTACAAGTCCTCTATTCCATATTTCATACACAGTCATACACTGTATAACTATGTTTTGGTCAATGACAAACCACATCTATGACAGCAATCCCATAAGATTATAATGGAGCTGAAAAATTCCTATTGTCTGAGTGAGGTTATAGCAGTCCTAACATTGCAGCACAATACATTACTCACATGTTTGTGGTGATGCTGGTATAAACAAATCTACTGCACTGCCAGTTATGTGAAAGTATAGTATATAAAACTGTGTACAGTACATAATACCAGACAATAATAAGCAGTTGCCACTGGTTTATGTATTTATTCTAACTACTATGCCTTTTTTTTTTGGTAGAGTGCACACCTTCTACTTATTAAAAAAAAAAACAAACTGTAAAACAGCATCATGCAGGTTCTTCAGGAGAGATTCCAGAGGAAGGCATTGTTGTGGTAGAAGATGACAGTTCCACAGGTGTTACTAGCCATGAAGATCTTCCAGTGAGACAAGATGTGGAGGTGGAAGACAGTGATATTGATGATTCTGATCCTGTTGTTATAAATAAAGTTTCGGTTCCACAAAAGAAATAGCACTTGAACATAAAATTTTCTTATTTTCTTCACAGCATGGCGGTTTACTTCTAAACTGCTCTTACAGATGGAGCAATAGTGAGCGCACACCTGGACAAGGGAGGAAAAGGGGGCCTTATTCCTGAGGCACGTGGCCCCTGCTGCCGTGTGGTTCCCCTATTGGCTAGTGTTAGACCGCACAGGCTACAACTAATTCCGACTGGCTAATTTAAAGAGAGTGATGGGGTGAGTGGTTTGGCAGGAAAAATGGTTATGGCAGAGCAGGGAATTGGAATGAATCAGTTTGGAGAATGAGCAGGTAATCGGAATGAGTAAGGGTGGAGCAGGTAATTGGAATGAGTCAAGGTGGAGCAGGTAATCAGAAAATGTTGCTTTACGAGGAAGTTAAGTTTGAAAGTAGAAGGCAAAGAATTGAACATACTGACATATTGATTCTTTGAAGAGAAATTTAGAACTCATATCTAACACTGTGTAGGCCTAAGCTAACGTGTATGTTTTTGTCTTCATTTCGAATAAAAAAGTTTAATAACACAATTTTTTAAATTTAAAAATAGAAAAAAAATTATAGAATCAACATATAAGAAAATCTTTTTTGCACAAGTGCACAATGTGTTTGTGTTTTAAACTAAGTTTTATTACATAATAGTCAAAAATGGAAAAATTAAAAAGTTTATAAAGTAAAAAAATTTCATTGAGCCAGTTATTATCAAAGAATAAAATATTTTAAAAATAAATTTAATGTAGCATAAATGTATAGTATTTATAGAGTCTGCAGTACTGTACAGTTATGTCCTAACCCTTCACATTCACTCTCCACTCAATCGCTGACTTACCCACAGCAATTCCCAGTGCTTCAAATTACATTCATAAGAACATTATACAGGTGTATCATTTTTTTCATCTTTTATATAGTATTTTTATTGTACAGTTTCTATGTTTAAATATGTTTAGATATACAAATACGTACCATTGTATTACAATTGCCTACAGTGTTCAGCAGAGTAACATGCTGTATAGGTTTGTACCCCAGGAGAAATAGGTGATACCATATGGCCTAGGGATGTAGTAGGCTATACCATCTGGATTTGTGAAAGTACACACTATGATATTCACACAACAATGACAAAATTGCCTAATGATGCATTTCTCAGAATATATCCTCATCATTGTGACACATGACTGTACATCCCAGAGTAAATGTTTAGAGAAGTCATAGAAACACGAAATTTAAAGACAATCTAACAACAGTTTTAGTTGTTCAGGACCATCAGTTAAAAAGGAGAAGGATAATTAATTCTTGAAGACGTCTATTTTTTTTCTACACAGAGGGAAAACAATCTTGAGAAAGTAGAAAAAACAAAAGGATTACTGCAATCTTTGTTATATCATTTACTTCAGTGTGAAATTTCTACAATGAAGCTCTGGCTATATTTAAGAAGTGACTTGGAACCATCAGTTACATTTGGGTTGGATCAATTTCTTCCCTGATGCCTGGACACATTTAGGACAATTGAAATTCAAAATATGTTTTCCCCCAGAATTTTAATTCACAATCTCTCACCATCTTTTTTCACCAGTAGAAGCCCTTGTAGACTTCCCTTGAGAATGGAAGAAACAGATAAACACAGAATTGGATAATGTCTTTGTACCTTACTTCATTCAAGTAATATAGTCTATAAAAATATATATTAAAAAGTAAAGCAAATTTAATATTTTAAAACTAAAAAATTCATATCTAATTATACGAATTAGGGTAGCCACATTTTCTGAAGTTGTTTGATCCTTCACAGAAAATTCAAGGATGAGCAACAGAATGAGTTATGCATAACAAAATGCCACACGCTAGCCACTTCCATAAAAGTGTCAAGATTTCAAAGGTTTGGGTTCAAGTACTATTGTAAGAAAAAGTATGTTACATTTCACCTATGAATAATATTTTAGTTGAGATTAATTAAGAAAAGAACTGCATTCATCTGACGAGGCCACACAATAGGTAGGCTTTGAAAGAAGTTGTGCATGGTTTTGAGTGATAAAATTGAAGCATTTTGCCCACATCCATTATCATAAGTCTGTTAAGAAACATTCTGCAGCCTATTCTCTCTGAAGCCTGCTAGCTAAAAGCTTCATCTGTGTAGCGCAATCAAATTAGAACTCAGGACTAACAAACTCACTCAAAACCACAACCACATGGAAACTGAACAACCTGCTCCTGAATGACTACTGGGTAAGTAACGAAATTAAGGCAGAAATAAAGATGTTCTTTGAAACCAATGAGAACAAAGACACAACGTACCAGAATCTCTGGGACACATGTGAAGCAGTGTATAGAGGGAAATTTATAACACTAAAAGCCCACAAGAGAAAGCAGGAAAGATCTAAAATCAACACCCTAATATCACAATTAAAAGAACTAGAGAAGCAAGCGCGAACAAATTCAAAAGCTAGCAGAGGGCAAGAAATACTAAGATCAGAGCAGAACTGAAGGAAATAGAGACACAAAAAAACCATTCAAAAAATCAATGAATCCAGGAGTTGGTTTTTTGAAAAGATCAACAAAATACATAGACCGCTAGAAAGACTAATAAAGAAGAAAAGAGAGAAGAATCAAATACATGCAATAAAAAATGACAAAGGGGATATCACCACCGATCCCACAGAAATACAAACTACCATCAGAGAATACTATAAACACCTTTATGCCAATAAACTAGAAAATCTAGAAGTAATGGATAAATTCCAGGACACATACACCCCCCAAGACTAAGCCAGCAAGAAGTTGAATCTCTGAATAGACCAATAACAGGTTCTGAAATTGAGGCGATAACAGCCTACCAACCAAAAAAAGTCCAGAACCAGATGGATTCACAGCCGAATTCTACCAGAGTTACAAAGAAGAGCTGGAACCACTGTTTCTGAAAATATTTCAATCAATAGAAAAAGAGGGAATCCTCCCTAACTCATTTTATGAGGCCAGCATTATCCTGATACCAAAGCCTAGTAGAGACACAACAAAAAAAGAGAATTTTAGGCCAATATCCCTGATGAATATCAATGCAAAAATCTTCAATAAAATACTGGCAAACCGAATCCAGCAGCACATCAAAAATCTTATCCACTATGATAAAGTCATCTTCATCTCTGGGATACAAGGTCGCTTCAACATATGCAAATCAATAAACGTAACCCATCACATAAACAGAACCAGTGACAAAAAACACATGATTATCTCAATAGATACAGAAAAAGCCTTCGACTAAATTCAGCAGCCTTTCATGCTAAAAACTGTCAATAAACTAGGTATTGATGGAATGTATCTCAAAATAACATAAGCTATGTATGACAAACCCACAGTCAATATCATATGGAATGGGCAAAAGCTGGAAGCATTCCCTTTGAAAACCGGCACAAGACAAGGATGCCCTCTCTCACCACTCCTATTCAACATAGTGTTGCAAGTTCTGGCTAGGGCAATCAGGAAAGAAAAATAAATAAAGGGTATTCAATTAGGAAAAGAAGAAGTCAAATTGTCTCTGTTTGCAGATGACATGATTGTATCTTTAGAAAACCCCACCATCTCAGCCCAAAATCTCCTTAAGCTGATAAACAACTTCAGCAACATCTCAGGATATGAAATCAATGTACAAAAATCACAAGATTCCTATACACCAATAATAGACAAACAGTCAGCCAAATCATGAGTGAACTCCCATTCACAATTGCTTCAAAGAGAATAAAATACCTAGGAATCCAACTTACAAGGGTTGTGAAAGACATCTTCAAGAACTACAAACCACTGCTCAACAAAATAAAAGAGGACACAAACAAATGGAAGAACATTCCATGCTCACGGATAGGAAGAATCAGTATCATGAAAACAGCCATACTGCCCAAGGTAATTTATAGATTCAATACTATCCCCATCAAGCTACCACTGACTTTCTTCATAGAATTGGAAAAAAACTACTTTAAATTTCATATGGAACCAAAAAAGAGCCCACATAGCCAAGACAATCTTAAGCAAAAAGAACAAAGCTGGAGGCATCATGCTACCTGACTTCAGACTATACTACAAGGCTACAGTAACAAAAACAGCATGGTACTGGTACCAAAACAGACACATAGACCAATGCAACAGAACAGAGGCCCCAAAAATAACACCATACATCTACAACCATCTGATCTTTGACAAACCTGACAAAAACAAGCAATGGGGAAAGGATTCCCTATCTATTAAATGGTGCTGGGAAAACTGGCTAGCCATATGTAGAAAGCTGAAACTGGATCCCTTCCTTACACCATACACAAAAATTAACTCAAGTTGAATTAAAGACTTAAACATAAGACCTAACACCATAAAAACTCTAGAAGAAAACCTAGGCAATACCATTCAGGACATAGGCATGGGCGGGAACTTCATGACTAAAACACCAAAAGCAATGTCAACAAAAGCCAGAATAGACAAATGGGATCTAATTAAACTAAAGAGCTTCTGCACAGCAAAAAAACTATCATCAGAGTGAACAGGCAACCTAAAGAATGGGAGAAAATCTTTGCAATCTATCCATCTGACAAAGGGCTAAT